>NC_000006.12:66549776-66852806 GCF_000001405.40 Homo sapiens
AATCCAAAAGATGAAATAAAATTCATCTGTATTAATATAGATGCAAAAACATAAATACAAATTGATTAAGTAATATAAATTATTATTGTGTAATATATATAAGCTTAAAGAAGAATCTTACAAAATAATGCTATATCATTAGATAAATTAATAATACAGTTAGGAAGGAATGAAAATGAACCAAGGTAGGTTATAAAAAATGTCTATTTTTTCTGTTTATTATAAAATCTGAAATTAATATGATAAATAAATACGTATATATATTCTCTAATTTTGACCATTTATGTGATTGTTGGATTATATTCTTTATACTTGTTTCAAAGTTAAGATAGATAATATTTAAAATAATTATAATTAGGATAAATATTGTAAGTTGTTGAAGAATGATGAAAATATGAAGAAAATAAAGTAAACGTGAAGATATTTTTAGTTACACACATTCACGAATGAAGGGTTGTGGAGAAAGAGAGATTTAGTGCATGAATAGATAGGTACAATGTTGTAGAAAAATAGTAGCAAAACATCCTCCAAACTATTAAACATTCAATATACACTGTGAATTAGGAAACTAATGTCCTCTATCATTTTACAACTCATCCCTTTGGTCCACTGACGAACAGAACAGATTTTACATAGTGTCAACTGTTAATTAATTAAAATGCTATTTGTTTAACGACAATTACAGCTTTTAAGTCTCTAATATAAAAATATGGTTATGGAGTTACTAAAGAAATATCTTAATCAAATTTTTCTTTGATTTTAGACATTAACATTAAAAATGATTACAATAAGTATATATATTTGAGTAAGAAATACATATGTGTATATTTAGTCAAATTATTTGTTCTATTCCACTTCTTTTATAGGACTTCTGTTAATTATCTTAAGCAAAGGAAATATTTTAACTGCCTGAAACATAACATGCATGCTATTTGGTTATTTAATAACATAAATTGCAATCTAAAATGTATAACCCCAGTTTCATGGTAAATTTCAGTTTACCCACAATTTTTGAGATTCAATACTGTGGAGTAAGACAAAGTTTGCTGAATTACATGATATTTGTCTTAATAGAAAAAGAAAATATTTTCTACAATTCTCTTCTTGCTACTCGACACTGTCATTAATTTATTTATGACATATAAATCTATGAAGAACAACTGAGCAAGAACACTGTTAACTCTTTTTCTAAACTTGCTTGGTTTTTGAAGCCATCTATTATCGTGATAAAATGACAAAAGAAAAAAATATGTAAAGTAGTAAAATGCTTTACTTTACTACCCTGCTGCTCAGCTCACAAAGCAATTAAGTAACTAAGGAAATGTGAAAAGACTAGAATTATAGAAAATCAAAGTTGCAGTTAAGAATAGATCTAGAATATATCTCAGCAAATGTAGTGGACAAGGCAAGGTTCCAAAATGTTGTGAGCAGATGCTGGAGAGGATGTGGAGAAACGGGAACGCTTTTACACTGTTGGTGGGGGTCTAAATTTGTTTATTCATTGTGGAAGATAGTGTGGCAATTACTCAAAGATTTAGAACCAGAAGTAACATTTGACCCAGCAATCCCATTACTGGGCGTATACCCAAAGGATTATAAATCATTTTACTATAAAGACAAATGCACACATATGTTTATTGAAGCACTATTTACAGTAGCAAAGACTTGGAACCAACCCAAATGCCCATCAATGATAGATTGGATAAAGAAAAATGTGGCACAAATACACCATGGAATACTACGCAGTCATAAAAAAGAATGAGTTAACGTCCTTTGCAGGGACATGGATGAAGCTGGAAACCATCATTCTGAGCAAACTATCACAAGGACAGAAAAAAAGAAACACCGTGTGTTCTCAGTTATAAGTGGGAGTTGAACAACGAGAACACATGGACACAGGGAGGGAAACATCACACATTGGGGCCTGTCAGATCACGAGGTCAGGAGATTGAGACCATCCTGACTAACACGGTGAAACCCCGTCTCTACTAAAAATACGAAAAAATTAGCCGGGCATGGTGGCGGGTGCCTATAGTCCCAGCTACTCGGGAGGCTGAGGCAGAATGGCGTGAACCTGGGAGGTGGAGCTTGCAGTGAGATGAGATTGTGCCACTGCACTCCATCCTGGGTGTCAGAGCAAGACTCCATTAAAAAAAAAAAAAAAGTGAGATGTCAGCAACCTCAGGGATGATTTATCAAACACATGGGAAGTCACATTTTAAACCCTTTTTATTTGCATCAGTTCATCTTTTTCCACCTCAAGTTCCTTTGAAAATACGTATTTTCTATACTAGTTTTATTATTTTCTCATTTGTTGAGGATCAACTACATTATTCTAGACAACTGAAAAATTCTTTTTTATGGTACAAAAGACATGTGACAACGTATTTAGTTCAGATATTTTGTCTGGAAAACAAATAATGAAAATTTACTTTCACATATTTTGATGTTGAGAAGTTTATATCAGAGTGAAACAAAAAAAACTCCACAAAACTGCGTTTTATTAACCATAACCTCAGTTGCTTAGATGCTAAGGATGGAATATCTGTAACCATCTTTGTAACTTTATCTAATTTTCTTTTTCATTTGACTATTTTGACATTTAATATCATGTAGGCATTACCAAGGTAGAAAATATTATGATACATGCAATTTTTACTTATGTTTTCTGGCAAGTTATTTGAATAGGATTAGGATAGAATAACTTTTATTATTACTATTATTATTATTAAATTAAGCATTGAACAGAGTACACACGGACCAGAAGAAAGGAATTATAGATACAAGGTCTCCATGAGGGTGGAGGGTGGGAGGAAGGTAAGGGTCAAAAAACTACCTATCAGGTACTATGCTTGTTACCTGTATGACAAAAATCATCTGTACACCAAAACCCTGTGACACAAAAATTACCCACGTAACAAACCTGCACATGTACCCCCAGACCTAAAATAAAAGTTAGAAAAAAATGTTTTAATAAATTGTTCTCAATGTGGGCTTAAGAATTATAAGAGTTGAGAAATATCTTTATGTACTGGGAGAGGTTGCATTTGAAGTCTGTGAAGTTCCAGAAAGCCATGTCTGTCACACACATAGTGATCTTTGAAAATAAAAATTGGCTTAAAATGATTCATTCCTCACTAGAAGTCATAGCTCATGCCATAACTTTTATTTTTTGAATTTTTTGTTGTATTAGTATTTTATTTTAATTTTAATAGATTTAGGATTACAAGTGCAGGTTTTTACATTGACATGTAGTACAGTGGTGAAATCTAGGCTTTTACCCTACACATAACCTGAATAGTGCACATTGCACTCAATAGGTAGTATATCATCTCTCACCCCCTCCCACACTCCCAACTCTTGGGATGTCCAATGTCTATTATTTCACTCTGCATGTTCATGAGTACCCATTGTTTAACTGCCACTTATAAGTGAGAACATGTGTTTTTTGATCTTCTGAGTTATTTCACTAAAGATAATGGTTTTCAGTTCCATTCCTGTTTTTTCTTTTTAACGGCTGAGTAGAATTCCGTGTGTGTCTTTGTGTGTGTACATATATAAACACTTTTGGAATCTAATCATCTGTTGATAGCCACAGGTTGATTCCATGACTTTTTTATTGTGAATATTGCTGGAAAAAACAAAAAGTGAAGATGTTTTTGGTAAAACGATTTCTTTTCTTTTGGATATATACACAAATGATTTGTTTTCTTTTGAGATTAATGGATTGAAGGTTAGTTCCACTTTTGGTTATTTGAGAAATCTCCATACCGTTTTTCATAGAGATTGTACTAATTCACATACCCAACATCAGTGCTTATATTGTTTCTTTTCCTGCATTCCTTTTCCTCCACATCCTTGCCAACATATGTTGTTTTTTTTTTCACTTTCTAATAATAGCCATTTTGAGTAATGTAAGACTTCACTGTGGTTTTAATTTGCATTTCTCTGATGATTAGTGATGTTGAGCATTTTTTCATATGTTTTTTGGCCACTTGTACATCTTGTTTTAAAAAGTGCCTGCTCATGTTCTGTGCCCAGTTTTTAATTGTTATTTACCTCTTTTTTGAGTTCCTCACACGTTCTGGATATTAGCCCTTTGTTGGATGCATTGTTTGCAAACATTTTCTCTCCTTCTGTAGGTTTTCTCTTTACTCTGTTGAGTATTCCTTTTGCTGTGTAGAAACTTGTTAGTTTAATTAACTTCCACTTGTCTATTTTGTTTTGGTTGTGCTTCCTTTTGAAGGCTTAATCATAAATTCTTTGCCTAGGCCAATAATAAGAAGAGTTTTTCCTAGAATTTCTTCTTAGATTTTTACAGTTTCAGGTCTTACATTTAAGGCTGTAATCTATTTTTAGTTAATTTTTGTATGTAATGAAACATGAAGAACCAGTTTCATTATTTTACACATGCCTCTCCAAATTTTTAGCAACAATTATTGAATAGGGTGTTCTTTCCCCAGTGTACATTTGTGTCAACTTTCTCAAAGGTGAGTTGGTTGTAGGTATGTGGCTTTACTTCTGGGTTCTCTATTCTCTTCCATTCGTCTAGGTGTCTAATTTTATATCAGTACCATGCTGTTTTGGTTACTATAACTTTGTAGTATAATTGAAATTAAGGTATTCAGCTTTATTTCTCTTGCTCCAGATTGTTTTGGCTATTCAGCCTCTTTTTTAGTTCCATATACATTTCAGAATTGTCTTTCTCATTCTGTGAAAAAATGACATCGGTAATTTGATAGCAATTACACTGAATTTGTAGATTGCTTTGAGCATTTTGTTCATTTTAATGATATTGGTTCTTCCTATTCATGAATATGAGATGATTTTCCATTTGTTTATGTCATCTATAATTTATTTCATCAGAGTTTTGTAGTTCTCCTTGTAGAGCTCTTTCACCTACTTGGTTGATTGTATTGCTAAATATCTTTTTTTTTAACTTATTGTGAATGGGATTTAGTTCTTTGTTTGGTTCCCAGCTTTACCATAATTGGGTGTATAGAAATGCTGCTAGTTTTTTTGTACATTGATTTTGTATCCTAACCCTACTGAAGTCATTTATGAAATGTAAGAGTCTTTGAGAGGGTTCTTCAGTGTTTTCTAGGTGTAAGATAATATCATCAGTGGAAAGAGATAATTTAGCTTCCTCTTTTTCCAGTTTGGTTGTCTTTAATGTTTTTCTCTTGCCTGATTGCACTGGCTAGGACTTCCAGTACTATACTCAATAGGAGTGGTGAAAGTGGGCATAATTTTCTTGTTCTAGTTCTTAGGGAGAACGCTTTCAACTTTCCTGATATTGGTTTTACATTTGTCATACAAGACTTTTATTATTTTGAGGTGTGTTCCTTTTTTACCTACTTTGGTAAGATTTTCTTTTTTATCATGAAGGATGTGGAATTTTATCAAATGCTTTTCCTGCATCGATTGAGGTGATCATATGGATTTTTTAAAAATCTATGTGGTGAATCATGTTTATTAATTTGCATATGGTGAGCCAACCTTGCATTCCTGAACTAAAACCAACTTGATTGTGGTATATCATTGAATTAATGTGCTGTTGGATTTGGTTTGCTAATATTTTGTTGAGGATTTTTGCATCTGTGTTCTTGAGGGATATTGGTTTGGAGTTTTCTTTTTTGTTGTGTCCTTGCCTGGCTTTGGTATCAAAGTGATGTTGGATTCATATAATTAGGGAGGATTCCTTACTCTTCAATTTTTTAGAAGAATTTCAGTAGGATTGACATCACTTCTCCCTTGTACATATGGTAGAATTGGACTGTGAATCTATCTGGTGCTGGACTTTTTTTTCTGTTGTTGAGAAACATTTAATTACTGATTCATTTTCACCACTTTTTTTTTAGGCTGTATGGGATTTCTATTTTCTCTTAGTTTAATCCTGGGGGTTATATGTCTCCAGAAATTAATCTATTTTCTTTAGGTTTTCTAGTTTGAGTTTGTGTGCATATAATGTTCCTGTTAGTCAGTGATGATATTTTGTATTTTTGTTATATCAGTTTTAACGAAATATTTATTATTTCTGATTGTGCTTATTTGAATCTTCTCTCTTTTCTTCTTGGTTATTCAAGCTAGCCATCTATCATTTTTAACAGAGAACAAACATTTTATTTCATTGAGCCTTGTCTTTTTGTTGTTTTGCTCTCCATTTCATTTAGTTCTGCTTTGATCTTTTTTTTTCTTCTGCCAGCTTTGTGTGTATTGTGCTCTTGCTTTTCTAGTTTCTTAAAGTTCAATGTTTGTTAATTTGAGATTTTTCTGTCTTTTTGATGTGGGCATTTACTACTATAAACTTCCCTTATAGCACTGCTTTTGCTGTATCCCAGAGGTTTGTTGTTCCTCTATTTTCAATTGTTTCCATTTTTTTTTAAATTTCCACCTTAATTTCATCATTGACCCAAAAATCATTTGGGAGCAGGTTATTTAATTTTCATGTATTTGTATAATTTTGATGGTTTTATTTGTTATTGATTTTTAGTTTTATTTCAATGTGTCACAAGAAGATATTTGATACGATTCCAGTTTTCTTAAAATTTGTAAAGACTTGCCTTCTGGTCTAGCATAGGATCAATTTTCTAAAATGTTGCACATATACGTGAGAAAAATATACATTCTACTATTGTAAAGTAGAACATTCTGTAAACGTCTGTTATGTCCATTTGGTCTAGAGTGCTATTTAAATCCAGAGTTTCTTCATTGACTTTCTACTTCAATGATCTGTCTAGTGCTTTCAGTGACATATTGCAGACCCCGACTATTATTGTATTGCTGTCTATCTCTTTTCTTACTTGTAGTGTTTTTGTTTTAATCTCACTGCTCCAGTGTCAAGGGCACATATATTTGTAATTGTTATATCTTCCTAATGAATGGATCTCTTTATCATTACATAAAGATCATCTTTGTGTTTTTACTGTTGTCGATTTAAAGTCTGTTTTATTTGAAATAAATATAGCTACTCCTACTCGCTTTTGGTTTCGGTTTGCATAGAATATTTTTGTCCACTTCTTTGAGTCTGTCAAATTCTTTACCAGCTGGGTGATTTTCCTGTATGTAGCATATCCTTGGATTTTGTTCTCTTATTCATTCTTCAAGCCTATAACTTTTAGTGAAGTATTTAGTCCATTTATGTTATGTATGTTTAAAATTAGTATCAATAAGAGAGTTTTTGTTCCTGTCATAATGTTAATTATTACCTAGATGCTTTGTAGTCTTGATTATGCAATTGTTTTATAAGATTTGTGAGTTTTATACTTTCACATGTTTTATGATGATAACTGTTGCCTTTTGTTTTCATGTTTAGAACTCCTTTGAGGATTTCCTGTATGTCTAGCTTAGTGGTGACAAATTCATTTGGTATGTCCTTGTCTAGGAAAGACTTTATTTCTCAATCATTTTTAAAGCTTAGTTTATTAGGATACAAAATTCTTGGCTGGCATTTTCTTTTTCATAAAAAGACGGTCAAGAAAACCCTAATCTTTTCTGCCTTAAAAAGTTTCTTCTGGGAATTCCACTGTTAGGCTGATGAGATTTCCATTATAAGTGATTAGACACTTCTCTCTTGCTGCTTTTAGGTCATTTTTCTTCATGTAGACTTTGAATATCCTGATAATCATATGCCTTGGTGAAGCTCATCTTGAATTATGTGTCCAGGAGTTATCTGAGCTTCTTGTATCTGGATGTCTAGACCTCTAGCAAGACCAAGGAATTTTTCCTGAATTTGTCCCTCAAATAGGATTTTCATACTTTGTATTATTTCTTATTTTTCTGGAATATGTATTCCTCATAGCTTTGGACAGTTTACATAATCTCATATTTTTTGAAAGCTTTGTGAATTAAAAAATAATTTTTTGTTTTTATTTGATTGGGTTAATTCAAAAGACATGTCCTCTAGCTTTGAAATTCTTTCTTCTTTTTTCTCTAGGCTATTGTGAAGGCTTTCATCGGTATTGTGTAATTCCATCAATAAATTTTTTATTTTCAGAAGTTTTGTATTTTTAAAACATAGTATCTACCTCTTTTCTATTCTTATTTTTCTATTTTTTTGTTAGTTTTCAGCATTCTATTGGATCCCATTAAGCTTCTTTAAAATCAATATGTTTCATGTTTTATCTGGTATTTTGAATATTTTATTTTGTTTAGAATCTTTTGCTGGAGAGCTAGAGTGATCCCTTGAGGGTGTCATACCACTGTTTTTCATACTTCTAAAATTGTTTCTCTGACTTATTTGCATCTGGATGAGCTTTCTTTTCCTAATTCTAAATTTACTTTCATTTGGATGAGAATTTTTTCCCCCTAGAGTGTGATTATAATATGTATTGTGTAGAGTCCTTTGGCTTTGATTCTGGATGCTTTCAATGGCATGTTTCTTGGGTATAAAATGCCTTTGTATGGTGGTTTTCTCAAATGCTGGTTTTAGTATTGATGTACTGGTATGTGAGCAGACTCACTTCCTGTGGGGCTGGGGTGGCAGCAATCTCAGAAAGTTCACCTTGTTCCCTATTCACTTGTGTCAGTGAATTTTTGATTGGATTATGTAGTTCAACCTCCAGGCCAGTAGGTGGTGCTTACAGATAAGAGTCAGCTATTGCTGATACAGATAGGTATATACTTCATCTTTGTTTACCCTGAAAAGCTCTCTGTTGCCTCAGGCAATAGGCTGTCCTGTGGAATGCACTGTGGTAGGAGATTCCTTCCCAGCTCCAGCTGGGGGTTGGAGGATGAAGCTAGGCAGGATGGGATTGGGCAGGATTATCTACATGTCTCAATGGCAGGAATGAGCATGAGCTCAAAGGAAGGGTCTGGGGAGAAATTGCCAAGCATCTGGAGACGTTCCAAGGGGTGGAGTGGATAAACCTCTGCTGTTCCAAGTTCTCTGTCCAGGGAGTGGGGGTAACCTAAACTCCCAATCTAGAAGAGTGGGAGCTCCAAATGCCTGCAGATATGACAAGGCGTAAAGCAGAGAAGGTGCCACTGCACCAAGATCTCTGCATCTGAAGGGAAGAGTGGCTCAGGCTCCCAATCTAGGCAAGTGGGTGCACTGAGTACTTGGAATTATGCCTGGGCATGGAGTGGAGAGGGTCCCATTTTACCAAGATTTCTGCACAGGGAGTCATAACATAATTTTTGAATGTAATTAATTTTATTACTCTGCTATTAATTGATTGCTTAACTAGGAATAAACTTGCTGTGGTCAATGGCTATGCAAAATAATAGAGGCCATGGTTATAACTCTACCCAGTAAGGGCCCTGCAGACAAGAGGTAAACCTTCACAATAACATTTTGTTAGCTAGACAGTGTGAATGCTATATGAACAAAGAAAAGTTGAGTGCCTTCTGCTCACTTTGCTGCCTTATGTGATACTAACCAACCCATCAGATTCCTGTAAGACCTAGCATGCTTGCCTGTTTCACTATAGAGTCCAAAGTGCCAGTGATTAAAAAAAATGTGTTATGTTCTTTTATATCTTTCTATAGAACACATTTACCACAGGGAATGTATGCATGTATTTTCATTGTAAATTTTAGGAGCCTGACTAATGACTATTCAGTTTAAAGATACAAGTATTTATAGTCAGTTACGGAAATATGTACATTTAGTGTGGCTTTAGAATAGACATCTCCTTTCTCTATATTGAGTTGGGCATATATTTATTACTTGAGACAGGAGAAAACTGTCATGGTCAGGTTTTCCTTTGTAAATCCCTTCTGTTTTTAAGAGTCACCCTGCATTATTATTACTAAAGTAGTACTGAGACTAAAATTTGGGCTTTGGAATCAAATAAATTGTAGATTGAATTCTGGTTCTTTTGTTTACTAGTAGTGAAAACCAGTGCAATTTATGCAATATCCACACAAATTTTCTTAGGGAAAAAACAGAAATAATAATACCAACTCACACAGATAATGCACATAAAGCATTTAGCAGTGCCTTAAATACATAACTACCCAATAAATGGTGGCAGTTATTATCATTAAAATGAAGGCTGAAAGTAACTAGAAGATACGGAAATCACTATGGAAATAGAAAATGGCAATCTTAAGAAAATAAGAATGAACATTCAGAGAAAAAACAAATTGACAGAATCTTAAATTGTTAAAAAGCTATGTTGAATAAGATTGTCTTTTCAAATAATTATCACCTCTAACTATCAAGACTTCTGTGCTTATGAATATAGTCCTTACTTGGAACAAATCAGTTAAATTTGTACACATTAACATCACTGCTCCTTCACAATGCCTTATGATTAATCAGAAGCACTAAAAGGAAATGATTTTTTTTTGTATGTTGAGGCAGGAGAATGAGATCTGCAGACAGGGAATGTACATGATTCTCGCTGACTTCCTAGAACTGAATCGAATGGAAACACTTCAGCTATGATAGGAAATATTCTCTCCATTTACACAGGGCATACACTGAGTAAATGACTTTGTAACTTTACTTCATCCTTTTTATTTTCATAGGGCATACACCAAATCATCAATGGAAACCTCTAGAGGGTATTTAAACCCGTAGAAAATTCTGTAACGAGACTCTTGAGCACCTATCCTCAGGCCTGCTCCAACCCTGTGGAGTATAATTTCATTTTCAATAAATCTCTGCTTTTGTTGTTTTATTCCTTCTTTGCTTTCTTTGTGCGTTTTGTCCAATTCTTTGCTCAAGATGCCAAGAACTTGGACATTTTCCACTGGTAACAATGTCAATAAGCCACAATAAAAATCAGAAGATATCTTGCATATTTGTTGCTACAGTAATGGTGATGAAACCACACCAAACCATCCATACACTCTGTCCTGTTCCCCTAGAGTTCTGACTTATTTAAGCAAGGCAAACCTGCTAGATACTCTAAGCAGGATCCATCTGCCTTCGAAAAAGCTGTCATTCACTTCCTATCTCTGAACAGTATCTCAAAGAGATTCTTTAGCTTTCTAGTCTCATAGTCCCAGTCAGATATTTTAAAAATCAGATATAATAAGATTTACAACTTCATTCTTATAGTCTTTTAATGCTAATTCCATATTTCTATATTAGATCTGACATGAGATAAGCGGCAATAGATCATTTTTTTTCTCTAATGCCTTCTCAAACACTTCCTTATTTGTGGAGCCTATGTGAGAATCCTTTAGACAACTATTAATATCTGAAAATTTGTGTTTCCTTTTCTAACTTTCCTCCAAGATTTCAATACTTGTAATGACTTCACAATCTTGCTGCTCAATACCACCTAACTTTTATAACACCCACGTTATTCACATGAAACTATCAGTCTTGCCTTTCAAAATGATGGGTGTCCCACTGCATTCTTCTGTCTATCACTCCGCTCCTTCCCTTCTCTTGTGCTCAAAAAAACCTATTAAGACCAATCAGAAAAATAGATGGCACACATGAAACCACTTCACTGTAAATGTGAGACATTTACAGCATTCAGTCAACACAATGATGCAAATTGTTCTCTTAAGTGTTTTCTGCCCTTCATTTACCTTTTTTTTTTTTTTTTTTTTTTTTTGAGACAGAGTCTCCTTCTGTTCCCCAGGCTGGAGTACAGTGGCTCGATCTCTGCTCACTGAAACCTCTGCCTCCCAGGTTCAAGCGATTCTCCTGCCTCAGCCTCCAAAGTAGCTGGGATTACAGGCACGCACCACCACGCCCAGCTAATTTTGTTTGTATTTTTAGTAGAGATGGGGTTTCAGCATGTTGGTCAGGCTGGTCTCAAACTCCTGGCCTCATGATCTGCCTGCCTCGGCCTCCCAGAGTGCTGGAATTACAGGCGTGAGCGACCGCGCCCAGCCCCTTCACTTAACTTTATGAGGAGAATCTACACTGGTAGAGGAAATAATAAGCCACAGTAGCCTCTCTACCCATAAGACTCACAACATTACGTCACCAAGTTAATTCCAAGTTGAATTCCTAGACACCTGTAGACAGTTGCCTGGTGAGGGAATATGGAATAATGGTTACAGGATTTCTTCTTTTTACAGAAAGACTGGAAATCCTAGCTGAAATTAGGTATGATAGAACACTTTCTATTCAATGTTATTTTACAGTACAAGCAATAAATATTTCTTTAAAAATACATAAATGGGTTTAAAAAATCTAATTAAATACAGAAGCAGCCATGCTGTCTGGGGTATATACCTGGGGTTTATTGTCACATGCTGAGAAAGAAATCAGGACATAGACACATGTGGGTGGGTTAGGAGTGGAAAGTTTAATAGACAGAAGAAAGGAGAGAGGAGAGCAGCTCCTTGCAATAGAGAGAGAGATCCAAATAAGGGGAGAGTTGGTGGACGGCAACAGATTTTATAGGCAGGCTGGATAATGTGGTGTCTGATTTACATAGGGCTCACAGCTTGGTTTGATCAGGTATGACATCTACATAGTGCTTGGGGAAGGCTGCTCACCCACCCTAATCTTATTATGCAGGTGGGCTTTCTGGTTGAGAGCTGCCATCTTGTCTGCTTCTTACTGTACACATGGCTGGCAAAGAGAATGGAAGATGGAGCCTCATCTTGAACATGGTGGGCATAACTGCCAGTATCTATGTGGGTAGCTTGATTTTACAGGCTTCTCTTTGTTAAAAAGGAAAATAATTTGGGGCTGCTTTTTATTAAAAAGAAAAGCCTTACCAAGGACTCTCATACCCTTACTTATCTGCCCAAGTAACTTCTTCTTAACCTATACATTATTTCCCTTTCTGGAGTGATAACCTTAACTGCTTTTAGGGGTGTTGGATGACGATTCTTTCTGACTACCTCCTGATGAAAAGGGGTGTTGTGTGGGAACAGCAGCTAGGGTTCCTCCTGGGTTGATCTAAGGGTCATTAGAAGAAAGGTGTGTCCTTACGTGGTTCAGTCTGTAGCACCATTTGGAGCTTGATTGCTTTCAGTCATTCAAATGGGGTGTGATACTGGTTTGCCTCCATCAGATGCTGCTGAAACATTAATATAAAAGTAACATTCTTTTTAGAATATGTGGCATTGGATTTTGGTGGCTAGAGTAACTTTAGTGTTAACCTCGGTTAACAGTAAACCTGCTGAAACCTTCTGACTTGTCCTAAACGTCCCTCTTTTAAACAACCAATTATTCTCTTCAGGAAAAGTATTTGCCATATAAGATTCTTTCTTATATAAAATCTCTTTCCTTTATAATCTCCTTTGCATAGCCAGGGTGTGACATATTAGCAAACCCAATAAGATATTCTAGCAGACTCAGTGATAGAAGAACTTTTATGCTTCCTTTGTGTTGGTGACTATTATCCTTACTATAAGGACAATAATTAAGCAAAATACTACGGCAATGGAAACTCTCTATCCAATGTATCAGTATCATCTATAGCTCCTCTGCAAATAGTAGAGTGACTGTAGCAATTCCTGCATGGGTGATATAGTAGATTATTTCCATCTAAAATTTTACTCACCAAGACATACAACTTCCCTTTGGGGGGTCTATGAAGTTCCTTGGTTTTAATTTGCCAAACAAAGAAACCACCAGGTTATGGGCACCCTACTCATTTTCATTACCTGGCAGAATTTGCAGGATAATTGCCCAGAACTAGCATATTGATCCAGATATTTGCATTACCCATCCCTTTTTGTTTCTTGCAAGCTTTAGGAGATCACCACTTGATTCACAGGAATAAGTCTAAAATGCAGGCAAAAAGTTTAAAAACAATGAGACTAGGATTTAATGATAAATGTATGATAAGCTTTGGAACATAATTTCTCTCTCCAGTACTCATGCTTGGTAAAAACATATTATTATAGGACTTTGTTGTTTGTACAATAAAATTAAGTCTTATACTTGGCCTGATTATTTGCATAAAGTGCAACAAGAATGGTTATTTCTACATTGGCCTTTTGGATTGCCTTTGATGGAACTCTGTTTTACAAGGAATCTCAGATAAGAACTCTTAAAGTCGAGCCCAGCCATGGGTTTGTATACTCATATACATGTGATTTGGGTGATCTTGTTCTCTAAAGGTTCCAAGATAAACTGGGAGATCATAGACCTGTTAGAAAGTGACATTCTTTTCAGACCACAGGTTAGGAACCCTGTATAGGAACTGTGTAGACAAGGTAAGAGGCCAGGTGCCCCATGGGGCTTTTATCAGCTCTGCAAGTCAAGATTAACACCTTAAATGGAAGCATACCCTTCCAGTCAAAGCCTTGATGAAATGACCAGTTTTTCCAATCATGTCCTGTTGAAAAAAAAAATGGATTCTTATTACACTGATGCAACAACTATATTGCCATAAGTTAAAAGTGCTCACAGATAGTTTCCAAATTCTAGAGGACCTAGGCAGAGAGAAACAAACATGCTCAAAATTTTAATAACAGGAGTACAACTTAGTTGTTAATCATCAAAAATAGCTCAAAATAAGTTTCCTTGACTCTGAAAAACAAAACAAGGATCAGCAATATTCCAAGAAAAAGTCAAAAAAGATTGCCTTATTTTTTTGAGTGCAGTCCATTTAGTTAACTCTTGTTTTGCTTGACATTTGTGAATATTTCAGTTTTTCATGAGTCCCATACGTTATTTTTCTATTCCAATGTTACAATCTTCAAAGCTATTAAAAACCTGCATTTGAGAACACCTATAAAAGTCCTTAATATAGCTTGATTATAACCCATCTTTGGAGAAGGAACAAAGCAAGACAACGATTGTCTGCGAATGACAACATTTCCAGGGTATTTACAGTTAAGAACATGACTGGTAGAAAAAATTAGTTATCTCCATGGCTTGCAATAACATTACTCTTAATTATGATTGATAGCATATATTAGACATTAGAATTTTAGAAATTCCATACAATTTGGGAACATGTATTAGTATTATTCACCAAAATATAACTTAAAGAAGATTGGACATCATTTTGACAATCTCACGTGACTAAACATGTCAAATAATCCTGTTCACCTCTTTTCGAAATGCTTTAGGTGCCCTCTGAACCATTCCGAAAGCCAGGCATCAGGAAAGACAATTTTGAATGTTGACATTTGATTTTCGGATGCCTGCTAAATGTTAGAGGTTTAAAACACTTGATGTTATAAAATAGAATTCCAAATTGCCATAAATTGTTTATTTTTTCAAAATGATGACTCAAAAGGCAAAAACCTTTCATTAGCCTTTACTATTAGATAACAATCCTGTTTAAAGCCAAATTTTAACCTTGCATTCATGTATTAATGTGAACTCTAATTTCTTTAAATGAAACCTTATAGATGATTCCATTTAATCTTAACTAATTTGACCATGAGGTGAAATCTTTATAAATCTTTTATAACCTTCTTGCCAAAGGACAGATTATTATCTCCAAACAACCTTGCTGTGCTTTTATTTCAATGCTCAACTTATGAAAAGACCATATAATACCCCTTTTGAATTTAGTTTATGCTTACACATTTTTGCAAGATTAATTGGTACAATCTTTCTATAACTTGCTTAAACCTCTAGCTCTATCTTATCAAATTTAACATAATCCTTCACCCCGGGCAAAATGTATATTTCCATGCTTTCTTATAATCTTTTACTAAATAAGCATTTCACTGTTTTTATATGCCTTGCATATAAAACTGTTTAGTGATCTCAAATACATGTTGCACTGTTAACTCTTTGCAACTTTTAGTTTTGGTTAAAAACCTAGTTAATAAGGAATTTTAATTATATACCTGGTGTGGAGCCTAGGACCGAGACAGAAGTACACATAAGGTATGACTCTTTCCAGCATCTAACTCCACATGTCCCAGGCCTTATCTATCTGTAAAGCAGGAAGTATACAACCTTGGAACATTTAGCAAACCTAGTATCTAAGTTGTATAATTTAGACCACCTATTTGCATTTTGATTGCACGTGCATTTTACCAATAATCCTTAAGACTAATTTTATTTCTTAAAGATAAAAGTCATGTGAACTAAAAATATTTGATTTAAGTGCTTATTTTTCTTTAAGCCAATCAATTTGAGCTCTTTTTAGAGACATTATGCATAACACATATACAGCGACACAAACAGACAGATGATTCAGCACTGGCAAGACTTTTCATTTGCCAGTTTAGTAATTGGATTACTGGCTTCAAGGTGGAGCCTTTGGAGGAACAGGGCCAGGTACCATGCATTTTTAGGGCCTAATTAGCAGACCTAATTAGACAGATCCCTAAAATTAAAGGTGCCATTTTATACTGGATTTTGGATCCCCAAAGTAGGGAGAAACTACGGGAGAACACAGTGCAGTGCTTCTACCATGTATTTCATTGAAAGGCAATGAAAAAGCCAATCGGCTTATTTTGTAATCAGCCCATCCCCCTGGGACTCTCATCTGTCAGTGGGGGATGGGGTTGTTTTACTATCTTTTAGATGGCCAACAGCATGCTTCCCTGATTTATAACTACTATTAGTTATCCCTTAAAGTGTATTTCCTACCTAGTTATTATACACCAAAGCTCTCTCATATTGTGAAGTAACTTGATACCCCCAAAACTAAAAATTGTCCAATAATACAATGCAAAACAGAGCAGAGCCTTTGATTCTGAGAGGGAAATATCTGCTTTTAATTCCTGGGGTTTTATGGGAAAAACAGATTTTTTTTTTTCCTAAAGCAGGGTCTGTGGCACTTCCTCTGTTTTTCCCAAGGAGTCCCACACTACCAGAACTTATCTTAAGACCTCTCATGCATGCATTAAGAGTGGCAAGACAAAAAAAAAATGGAGAAAAATAATTCACTTAACTGAGAAGAAAAAAAAATCCAAGAAGAGAAAAAAAAAGGCCTTTTAAATATACCTAAAACTTGAGTATCCACTTTTAATTAAGCTGCGCACTCTTTAAGAATATCCTTTTAAATCCCATGTTACTAGACTTTAGCCATGCCAGCAGGTAAGATTTTTAGCTTTAGAACTTTACAAAAACTAACCTCACAAGAGAAACCAATAAGCCTTAATTAGGTTATGAGTTAACCACCAGTGTATGAGGTATTTTCAAAGGGGTGATAGGCAGCTTTTGAAAGCATCATTGCAATATTGTGACTGAGATAGTGAAAGAGATCCAACCCAACCAACTTCATTTTATTTCCAGCCCCCAAGCTGTCCTTGCTTATCCCTTTTGCCAGTTTGCATAGGAAGACAGAAGTCAAAAGACTGACTGGTAAGCAAACAAACAACAACAACAAAAAACTTTTATTCTTTTGCCAGCATGTCAGGCTTTGGGGTTTCCTTCCCCTTAGCTCAACTCTAAGCCAAGAATTTTAAGTTTTGGGGAAATTAACTTTTCCCACGATAGAAGATCATTATAAAAGAGCCATTTTAAACTGTTAAAGAAGGAAAAACAACATAGAAAAGTCTGTGGGTTCCAATTAGGATTTTCAAGAGGTATTGCCTCTCATCCTATTGGGAATGGTGTTTTCCCCATTTCTTTGCTCTCTGTATTTCCTCTTTTCCTTTTAGGCCTAGTATAAGAGACATATTGCTCATCTCTGAATTTCTCTGCTGCCTGCAGAGCTGCCTGCTTCTAAACTGCAGTTAGGGTTTGGCTTAGGAGAAGCATGGCATGCCTCCATGAGAGGTGAAATACCTGAGTTAAATTTTGGAAAGCTTCTATGTACCTATCAGCATCATTAGAAAATCGACCTAAGTCTCCCTTTATTTACCTAAGGTCCTTTAATGAGAAGGGAGCTTGAAGGGGCCCCAAACAAGGGGGATCCTCAAATGGTTCCCCTGGAAGTTGTTTCTTGGCTTTTGGGGAATTATTCTCTTTGAGCCTACCCAATATGATTGCTAAAAGGGCTCAGTTGATTCTGTAACACTTTAAAAGGTCTAGTAAAAATGCCACGTCCTTGTGTCAAAAACAAACAAACAACAAAAAAAACACCTTTTCTTCAACGTTCCAGGGTCAAAGGAGTCCTTATGCTTTGTAATGCACTCCAGCGAAGTGCAGGCTGAAGATGGTGCCCACTAGAAAGATAAGTGACAAAAAGGCATCCCTTTAGTCTCCTTCCTTTGGTGTGACCCAGGGTGGATAGGAAGACAGAAGAGGCATCTCCCCTGCTGTTTCCCCTCCATGGTTCCTGGGTCCTGGCCTCTTGTTGAATGTGCCACTCATGCTTGCAGGCATGGCCCCCAGCCATGGAACCAGAGACACTAAGCTATTGGGGCTATTCACACTCACCCAAGTGGCTCTAGTCCTGTGCCTGTGATTTCCCTTTGACTTCCTAGACTTGTGTGACCTTCCTGGCCCCCCAAAAAATGGATCTCAAGAAAAACTATGTAATAGTTGGGAAAGGCTCCTTTAATGGAGGGGTTGTACTAGATTGAACTCTGTATCCTCCTATTATGGCCCATGCTGAAGTGTTTACCCTTAGAGAATGGTTCCAGTTAACTTCCAAACTTAAAATCCCTTTACTAATTAAGTACTGCTCTAATTAAAGGCAGAATAGTTGCCTTAAAAGAACTTAGAAAACAAATGGCCATTTTCCTGCTGAAAGGACAGCATCTAGACTAAAATTTGGCTTTGGAAGATATTTTACTCCTAATTGTTGAAGATAGACTTTTCTCATTTACAGGAGCAGCATGAGGCCTTGTTTCCAGTAGAAATGTGCAAAAAGGAGAGAGAAATTTGAAGCTGAGGTGTTTTGTTAAAGGACCCACAATATTTCTCATGGAGAGGATCCCTCTTCCACTAGGTGGTGCGGTTGACTTTAAGACGCCATGAGCTCTCTAGACCCAGGCCAGAGTGACCTTGACATGCATGTGCGCTCCATGAGCTCTCCTCATAGAGAGGCTGAGAGAGAGAGGGCTGAGAGAGAGAGATGCTCACTGTGGCCTGGGGAGCCCTCTGTTCCCAGAAATTCACAAAGACACCTTCCCTTGAGCTATATATCCAGTTACTACGACATTCCCTGAACTTGCCAAACTAAGATTCCCTGAACTGTAAAACTTCCCACACATTTCATGCACAAAGAGGATAAGAGATATGATGGTCATGAACAGGAAGGGAGGAAATTACTATAGGAAATTTGGAGATCCTGTTGCCAATAACCCATCGAAACAGTCAGAGGCTGGGGTCAGTCCAGAAGCCTTTGGATAACGCTGGGGGTAGTCCCAGCCAGAAAACCTCAGTTGACCCAGGACTTATTCCAGCCTCATGCAATGGGTAAGTCCTCCATGAAACGCCTAAAATGGAGGCTGAGAGCCTTGGAATGAAGAGACAAAGTTGATGTCCACTCCTCTACTCACTGTTTCGATGAATGTTGTACCTTGGTATCTTGGACGTGTCCTCATTATAAAGCGGCTATGCTGTCTTGGATATATACCTTGGGGTTTGCTGTCACATGCCGAGAAAGAATTCAGGACTTGGTCACATGCGGGTGGGTTAAGGAGTGGAAAGTTTAATAGACAGAAAAAAAGGAGAGAGGAGAGCAGCTCCTTGCAAGAGAGATTGAGAGAGAGAGAGAGAGAGATCCAAAAAAAGGGGGAGGCAGTGGACTGCAGAAGATTTTATAAACCTGTAGAAGGTGATATCTGATTTACATAGGTCTCACAGATTGATTTGATCAGGTATGAGTTCTACATAATGCATGGAGAAGGCTGATATCTTATTATGCAAATGGGCTTTCCAGTTGATCAGTGCCATCTGTCTGCTTCTTACTGTATATGTGGCCAACAAAGAGAAGGGAGGATGGAGTGACCATCTTGAACATGACTGGCACAACTGCTGGTATCTATGTATACAGCTCGGTTTTATAGGCTGCTCTTTAATGTTTAGAAAGGAAAACAATTTGGGGCTACTTTTTATTAAAAAGAAAAGCCTTACTGAGGACTCCCATATCCTTACTGTCTGCCTAAGTAATTTCTTCTCAATTCCTATATCAATATCACAACCTACCACTGTTATAGTAGGTAGCTGAGTACAGGCATGAGCAGGGAAGGAGATGGCTACCCCCACCCCACCAGGAATATCAGGCCACCATCAGGTGATGGTCAGGCAGTTATCACACTGCTTTTCTAAAATAATAATTGGTCACAGCCTGTGCCAGGAAAAGGCAGTTTCCCAATAGATAAAAACACCTGAAACTGTTGATTGGCAGCTTCCCAATAAAACCTCAGGAACTGGGCGACTGGGCTCAATCATGCTCATTAAGAGGCAAAATGGCAGAGTTTAACTGATATATAACCTTCTGGGGACATTCCACTGGAAAAGGGATACAAGATACTGGAAGTAGGCCACCATATAAAACTCTAGGTCCAAGGTCAAACAGGGCACTTGACCTCCAAGATGCCCACTTAGCCCTCCTCCAAGTGTATTCTATTTTACTTTCTTTTCATTCCTGCCCTAAAGCTTTTTAATAAACTTTTACTCTTGCTCTAAAATTTGCCTCGGTCTCCTCTTCTGCCTTATACCACTCAGTCAAATCCTTTCTTCTGAGGAGGCAAGAATTGAGGTTGCTGCAGACCCAAATGGATTCACCATCAGTAACTCAGATACCTGCCAGAGATAACACCACCAGGATTTCCCAGTCTTTTGGCTTCCCTTGGCCACATTGGAAGAAGAATTCTCTTGAGCCACACATAAAATACACTAACACTAATAATAGCTAATGAACTAAAAAGAACAAAACAAAATGCAAAAAACAATTATAATGTTTTAAGAAAGTTCACAAATTTGTGTTGAGCTGCATTTAAAGCCACCGTCCTGGGTCACATGCAGCCTTCAGGCCTCGAGTTGGACAAGCCTGGCCTATCACTGTGTGATGTTAATAATTCAGCCAATGCTTATTGAATACACATTCACCAAGCCAAGTGCTAGCTTTGTGAATCAGGAGACACAGATGCCACACTGATAAAACAAAGCCTGAAGCAATACTTACAGTGTACCATTAAAATAATTTCTAACCTTAATGCGAATACTGATTGCTTTCAGGAAGAAAAGAATAATACTGTGCTACAAATTACCATTATTCTGAATACTCAATAGAACAGTGATTCTCAAAGTGTGGTCTATGGGCTAACATCCAACCATAAACTGTTATCGCAACTTACCTGCATAAATTTTGAGTAAGGAATTAGAAATTTTAATGTTATTTGACAGAGTATGTTACCTCTGTCACATCCAATAACATGGGTTATACTTTTGTATCTTTGCTTTTATTTCATTTTTATTTATATCAGTATATAACTGTTTGAAAAATATTTTTTATAAAATCTGACCTTTCTTTCAGATAGATTGTGAAACAATGTAATACAGCTTTGCTACTCAAAGTGCAGCATTAGGAGAAACAGTTTTGACATAACCTGAGAGATTATTAGAAATTTAGAAACTCAGGTCCCAGTGCAGACCAACTGAGTTAGAATCTATACTTTCACAATATCCCTATGTAATTAGTATTGTGCACCCCAAAAATCTAAGACAGGTCTCATTAAATTTAGAATGTTTATTTTGTCAAGATTAAGGATAGGCCTGTGACACAGCCTCAGGAGGTCCAGATGACATGTGCCCAAGGTGGTTGGGGCACAGCTTGGCTTTATGCATTTTAAGGAAACATGAGATATCAATTGACATATGTAAGATGTTCACTGGTTTTGTCTGGAAAGGCGAGACAATTCGAAGCAGGGAGGGGGCTTCCAGGTCGTAGGTAGATAAGAGACAAACGATTGCATTCCTTTGAGTTTCTGATTAGCCTTTCGAAAGGAAGCAATCAGATACTGCCAACAAGGAATTTCCTTGTGGACAATTGTAAGGAGGGTATGTAGCATTTTTATTTGTAGCTATCTTTTTAGGAATAGAATGGGAGGCAGGTTTGCCCTCTGCAGTTTTCAGCTTGACTTTTCCATTTATTTGGCTTAGTGATTCTAGGGTCTTGAGATATATTTTCCTTTCACAGTATGTACATTAAATTTTAACAGCTTATGAATATGATGTACATACCTTTTATCCCTGAAAGTTTCTTTGTGCTCCTTTGTAATCATTCCACCCTGCTACGGAACTCCACTGCCACATCTCTAGGCAAGAGTAGGGGTAACAGAAGTAACCCCTTTGGTTACTTTAGATTAGTTTGCATTTTCTAGCATTTATAAAATAAAATTGTACATGTTGCATGATCTTTTGTCTGGTTTCTTTCACTAGACATAATTTCTTTGTAATTTATCTTTGTTATTCTATATATAGATAATAAATTTGTTTTTATTGCTGAGCAGTATTCTATTATATGAATATACCACAATTTAGCCATTTCCCTGTTAATGGTCATTTGGTTTGTTTTCAGATTATTAGTTACTATTAGTATGCATATAATTAGTATGCATTAGTTGTTATTAGTCTGCATTAGTGTACAAGTATGCATTTTAATTGCATATTTTTAAATCACATATTATATAATTATTATCTTTAACACTCAATTATCTTATTTTGGTAAATATACATAACATAGAACTTACTATTGTGTGTTTTTAAGTGTACAATTCTGTGGCATCAAATACATTCATATGGTTTTGCCACCATTGCCACTATTGATCTCCAATACTGTTTAGTCATCCTAAGCTAAAACTCTGTTCCCATCAAACAATAATTCTAATTATTCTTTGTCCCCAGGCCTTGGGGACAAACTATTCTTATATTTTCTATCTTAATTTGTCTATTATATTTTAGGCACCTCTTACGACTGGAATTGTACAGTACTTATCCTTTTGTAACTGTCTTGTTTAGCATGATATTGTCAAAGTTCATTGTTGCAACATGTATTAGAATTTTATTTTTTGTTAAAGCTAAATAAGATTGTATATATATGTATATAAAAATATATGTGCTTTAGATATGTTTGATGTCACCTTTTAGTGCACAAATTATGAATTTTTATAAAGTTCTTTTTTTGTTGCATGTGCTTTTGATGTCATATCCTAAAAATCAGTGCCAAATTCAACATCACAAAGCTGTTCCCCTATGTGTTTCCTTCAAAGAGTATTAGAAATTTAACATTTACATTTAAGTGCTCGACACATTTGAGTTAATGTTTGTGTAAAGAAAAAGTCCAATTTCATTCCTTTGCATGTGGATATTCATTTTTTCCAGTACCATTTGTTAGGAAAAAAACTTTCCTTGTCCTATTGAATGTTCATGGCACCCTTGTCAGAAATCAATTGACCATATATATGAGGTTTTATTTTTGGCCTATTTTATTTCATAGACCTATGTCTATCCTTATGCAAATACCACATGGCTTTGATTACTGCAGGTTTGTATTAAGTTTTAAAATCAGAAAATGTGAGTCCTCCACATTTGCTCTTCTATTTCAAGATAATTTTGGATATTGGGGCCCCTTAATATTCTATACACATTTTAGAATTAACTCTTTATTATTTTTTCAAAATTATCATGAATTGCTCAAGAGTAACAATAAACAAATAAAATTTTCTGGCTGGGTGCGGTGGCTCATGCCTGTAATACCAGTACTTTGGGAGGCCAAGGAGGGTGGATCACGATGTCAGGAGTTCAAGACCAGCCTGGCAAGCATGGTGAAACCCCGTCTCTACTAAAAATACAAAAATTGGCCGGGCATGGTGGCAGGCGATTGTAATCCCAGAACTCAGGAGGCTAAGGTAGATAATTGCTTGAACCCAGGAGGAAGAGGTTGCAGTGAGCTGAGATCATGCCACTGCCCTCCAGCCTGGGCAACAGAGTGAGAACCCGTCTCAAAAAAAAAATTAATGAATTTTCTTGGATATTGAAACTGCAGTTACATTTCAAAAAAAATCAGTGAAGTAAAGAAGAAAGATGTCTAAACTGGCTGAGTGCAGTCTCACGCCTATAATCCCAGCACTCCGGGAGGCCAAGGTGGGCGGATCGCTTGAGGTCAGGAGTTTGAGACAAGCCTGGCCAACATGGTGAAACCCCATCTCTACCAAAAGACAGAAAAATACAAAAATTAGCCAGGTGTGGTGACGCACGCCTATAGTCCCAGCTACTTAGGAGGATGAGGTGGGAGAATCTCTTGAACCCAGGACGTGGAGGTTGCAATGAGCTGAGTTCGTGCCACTGCACTCCAGCTTGGGTGGCAGAGCGACACCCTGTCTCAAAAACAAACAAGCAAACAAACACACACAAAAATTGTCTAAACTGGTTAGATTTGTAGTACAACAGATGGGAGGTAAGAGTAATAAAAAATCACTTTACTTGGTAAATTCTAGTAAGATAGCTTTTCCTCTTTTCTGCATATGCTCTGAGCTCTGCCGGTTTGAAACTTTGCTACAAAGAGAGGAAAAATAAGTAAGGACTGAATTCATAAAGTTTGTTATGTTGATTGTAAAGTACTTTAAAATGTAGACCCTTCCTTATGATAGCTAGGTCATATTTGCATTTGAGCAAATAAATATACAGAATTCAGCATACCCTAGCAATTACCAACTTTTCTAGTGTCATACGTTATCCACTGCTCCTGTATTTCTCTGTCATTGAGTAATATAATTACTATACTGGATGTTCTTTATTTTCTGTGAAGTTATTCTTCATTTCCTGCCTTGCAATGCAGTTGAAAATATGTTGAGACCTTGAAAAATGCTCAGTGTAAAATCAACATATCTGAGCTTGCTTATTTTTAAGGACAAATAAAAATATGTTTTTGGTAATATGATTTCAACTTGTGTGAATTAGGCCATGCTGATTATACAAATGGGCTATATTTTTATTATAAAATACAGAGAATGATTAAGCAAATTAAAAATTAGAAACAAAAATATAAATGTTAATATGTAGGTGAAATGTATTTTTGTTCTTTCAGTAAATAGTTTTCTGTGTAATCTTATATCTTATAGTAACTATTATACCTATTTTATTTAGAAAATTTACTTTCTATAATATTAACTTGAAACATTTAAATTTGCTTTCATAATGAAAACTCATAATGTTGAGGTTATATTAAAGAGTAAGTTTGTGAAGTTCAGAATTCAGCCAGATATGTCCCTAAACTATTTGAAACAGATACATTGTCAATAAACATCTAATAATTCTTTTCTCAATTTTTAAAAAATTTAGTATCTATCAACAAAGAAGAAAAAGAAATGTTTGGACCCTTAAATCTAATTTCCTCTTTCAGTTTTCTTTCTACTCTTCTCAAACATCTACATTATATCCTCATATCAACTTCCTCCTTGTAAAATAAACACAAAGAAATCATGTTTTATCAAAAAATTAAACTGTGGGTAAGTTTCAAGAATAGAAACATGTTAAATACAGCATAGCCAGTATTCTCAGTGCAATAACATTTCTTAAATTAAACATTGATACATTTTGTATCATATTGCTGCAGACTGATAGCTTAGTTTAGCTATAATTTCTATTGCTTTAAAGAAAATAGAGAGAATATTCGGTTTTAGAATTTATGAATAAACATTGATATATAAAATTACAAAAACGACTCTGCAGAAAAATGTGTCTACTTACCTACCTATCTATCACCAGTGTACCTCCTGTTTTATACCTTGCTAAAGACAACATTAACATGGAGAATTCAACTCTAGTAATCCTTTGCCGTACCTTGATTTCAGAAGTAATTATTTCATTGCTCGATGCTACCTTGTCTGTGGTCCTGGTGTAAATTTCTTTCTAATTACAAAATGTCCGCCATATTTTTTTAGGATGTGTTGCCAAAATTTGGGTTGAAAGCATTGTTAATGAATCCTGTACTGTTTTCACATCAGTGGGCCTGCAACTCTTCAGCCTTGGATAAGAAGTGTATATATATACCTTCTTTGCTGGCAGATGAACAGCTGCTTCAGATTTTCAATGGCTACAGTTATAACAGTAGTAAATAATGCTAGGTTTTTCTTTCTCCTAGAGTCATTATTGACTCGGATATTGTTACTTAGAATGTCAGCTGTTAGGCTCTCAGGTTTATAGAACAAATGGCAAGAAATCAAAACAACAAACAAAGGACAGTCTATTAAAATACTTAAAGTATGTTGAGTTAAAATTTATTTACATTTCACTGAATTTTTCCCAGTGTAGAAGACATCTTAATAGGCAATGAGATTATAGACCAAGAATTACTAAAATATCCTAATAAGGAAGAATTTAAATCTAACAAAATTATCAAAGAAACATTTTAAGTGACATATGCTGATTCTAATATAACAGTAACAAAAATGAATGGATGCACAGAAAATACTATTTTTATTGTAGATACATGCAGACATCATAGAGATTCATTTGAACAAATCTTTGTCTGGTTAAGAGCAGGGGAAATGAATCTTGGGTGTTAGGAAGACCAGGTACTGAAATACAGTCCATTCTGCTACAGCACATTCTGGTAATATTAATTAGCTCATGAGTGATAGACTAGGAAATTTGTCAGCATAACACAGAAGTGATGTTTCTCACATCAAGAAACAGCAACTGAGTATAATGAGTCTCTAACCCAGTAAAATTCTCCAGGGCCAGGACATTCATACTTATCCTATTCTTCCTCTTGGCCAGGATTAGTCATATGCCAGCTGTAGGGAATCTTACCAAAATCTTACATAATTTTTCTGAATGTTGCCATTGTCTCCATAACTCAGAAAAATGAATTCTTTTTTAATAATCTTCTCATCAAGCTACTGTCACCTTTTTAAATGAAATTGTTGTATTTACTCCAACTTTCTTTATCAGTAATGATACCTTACCTTTTTTACTATCTAATATTTTATTAGAATTATGTTGCTTGGGCTAGTGTTCTGATTATTAATGGCATACATTTTGAATGGGCTATTCCAACTTTTCATCTTATTGTTTTTAGATATAATTCTGGGAGATTTTGAGGAATAAATATGTTATATTACAACGGATACCACAATATGGTATGTTGGGTAAGTATGAATAGCCCATTACAGCCAGGATATTTGTTGGCACATGTATATTACTTAATTAATAAATCATAGTCCATGACCACGAAGAAAATGGGTTAAGAATCAAATAAATTATATATAGAAAGACTACTTGAAAGGCATTTGTAGTGTAAGTAAAATTGTAGGGAGGAAAAGCAACAGTGCCAAAGACCAACTATGTCTAACAGGTTTTATTATTTTGTAATATTTAGAATCAGTAAATATTTGATAATTAATTGAATTTAGATGGGTGTGATGGTGGAAGGAAGAGCAGGGATTGGACACTGACAAGGATCAAATTTACATGTTTAAATGCTTGAAATAGGGAGAGAGAGAGACTATAAAAGAGAGGGAAGTTGAGGAATGAGAAGATTTTGGGTCAAAGAATCCAAGCATATATAGACTTCCCCTATTTAGCAGTCCTAAAGAAATTAAACAAGGGAACTTGAAATGTGCATTGTTTTCAGATTCCAGGTAGGATAGTCAGAATTGGAAATACAAACTTCTTTATTTTAGTTTATCTATCATTCCATAACCACAGCTTTGTGCTAACACTGTATAAACATTATAATGACTAAATTCAGGCTTACTGAAATTGATTATCCATGCTTCTAAACATGAGTTAATAAATTTCAACTCTTGAACATAACATGAACTAATGAACATGAATTAATCAGTAATAAACCAGAACATAAACGTGATCTGGTTAAACATGATGTATGGCATAGTGGCCATCCTCTCATTATCCATACATACAATAGATTTACAAGTAAGCTTCAAAATGGATAAATTTGAGAGATTTTTGCTAGGATTAACATGAATATATTTCATCTTAATACAAAATGGGCTACTCAAGTTATCTTAAAATTGTGCGTAAATAATTTAAAATAATATGTAAATTACCAGGTCAATTTATGTGATACAGTCATTTCAATATATGTCTCTAAGGTTACCAGTTTCATATGGAACCAGAAGGGTAGATCATTAATGGGCTAATGTAATTCTGGAAGAATTAGTCAGCTCCTAAGGGGATATGGGATTTATCTCAACTCTAGCTAGGAAAGAGCATAAACAAAATAAATAAATTTATCATTTCAGAATAACTTCAAGGCAGAAAGAGATGTTTGAACTGGAAACCAAATAAAACCTAAACCAATTACCTGCCTTTACAGCTATACAGCTATACAGGATTACAGATGCAGAATCTCAGATTACTCACACAATCTGTGTTTCCCTGTCTCTCTTACACTTTTGTCGTCAACCCAGTGAAACATAAAGATAAACTGATATGCTAAGTGCATGTGCAAATATATATATCATTTGTATATATATATATATAAAACATATATCACATTGTGTATATATCATATATACACAGATATTAAAATTATTTGATTAACATCAACATCAGAGGCACCTGTAGAGTATAAAGTTTCAATATATTCATTTTACTCTGTCTTAATTACTTGGAATTGTTGTTAAGCATGGGTCAACTAGTGCTGAAGTAGCTGGGAACAAGTTAAATGTGCATGTGTGTGATTATTTGGGTGGGTCCCTAGATTGGTTTGAAGGTGAACTAAAAGAAACCCTTTAGCCTATTTCCTGTTGCTTTTCTGAGAAAACATCCAATCCTGCTGTCACTCACAGTAAGAAGCCAAGCATCCTTTCTGACTTACTTTATCCTAGAAAACCTTAACATTTTGAAACAGACAAAAGTTTAACTTACCCTAAGACACAGACTTCTTGCTTATATGCTCTGTGTAGCACTGTCCCAGAATGCAACCCAGAGAATAAAATACAGAACAACACAGGCATATATATTGTCAAATGAACCCCAATTAAAACTTACAGAAATTCTTAGATATCCAGACGTAAATTCTCACTTGTAGTAACCTTTAAGGCAGTCATAAACAATGGGACTATTTTGTTATTACGTCATTAAAACTAGGAGAGCCGTCAAAGACACCTGCTGATTCTCCCATTTCCCTGCCCTGCCCTTGGTTTCATTGGGCATATGGTAACCAACAGGATAAAAATAAGAACCAGTCCTGATGCCCTTTTCTCATTTGTTGGGAATCCTCAATTTACGCTTTGGAGAAATGTTGTAAGAGTAATATTTGTAGCATTAAATTTGGGGTAAGATACATGAGGGGGGATACACACTTTTCTTATTTCAAACTTCATTCTATAATGCATTGTATGCACCTCTTGCCTTGACCATAGCATCATTGCTACTAAATGTATATGCAATATTATTATGCCTTCTAAAGTTAGTGTTCAAGACAGTCTATAAATCACTGTATAAAGACAACAAAGAAAAATAATATTTTAAAGTTACTTGTGTATGTGTGCGTGTATAGTGACAAACATCACATTTTCTAAGAATTTTTAATTTGAAAAAAAAATCTTCCAAGAAGAAATGGGAAAATAAAATCTCTTATTTTCTTTTAAAACTTGTATTTTGATATTTTTATTAAAACAACAACCCAGAACCCATTTAGATCATCAAGTTATCTTTGAAACTTGACAATGTTTTTAAAGTGCCACAATTTTTGAGTCTCTCCTCAAGATTTGATATTTGTACCCCGGTTTTCAGATATAATTCACCTAAAAAGGAGCAATAAGAATAATATTATTTCAATTTTTCTTATATCTATATTTTATAAAAAAGTGTCTAAATTATTATTGTGGGATTATGAACAAAGATGCTTTCAATTTCCAAGCACTATACTATTACACAGAACTTACATTGAGAGTTTGATTTACATGCATTTTAGTAGGCTGTCATTAATTTTATGCATTAGTTTTCTAATAGTAAGTATTACAGTATAATTATAGAATTCAGAATGCCTAAATTCTTAGGTCTGTATGTTTTTAATAGGCTATGAGGTTAAGCTAGTATTTAGATGTAAGGTCTGAATATTTTCCAGATTGACTCTTGAAATATTCCATAACCAGTGAATAAACGACCTTGAATTAGGAATGAAAAAACATCTCTTCAGATCAACCAATTTGCTACTAAAATGTATTCTGTGATAAGAGTAAATCATCCTTAAGATAATAACCATAGTTAAGAAGCATGCTTGAGAAAATAAAGAGCTATCCCATTTTTTCCTTTCAAAGTTTGAATCAAAGCTAAATGTCTTCTGAAATGTGAGGCATTCTGCCAAACTCTGCAGGGACTGTCTTCTGCAGTTACTATCACAAGCAAATGACCACTTTCTTATATAGCATGTTAACCTTTCATCCTAAAAATAATGATATTAGCTCAGTCAATGAATTTCTACTTGTTCTTTTAATCATCCTGTCCCGTCCGTAAAAAAAAAAAAAAAAAAAAAAATGCACATGGCTTTCAAGTCTTTAATGAGTGTCTGTGCAGAAGTTTCACATTAATTGTTTTACACCATTACTATGACTTGTAAGCAGAAATATGCATATTAAGCAGGAATTAGATTTCTAATTAAACAGTCCACATTAAGGCTGACTGCCAAACATGAGTTAGTCTTAAAGGTATTTATAGAGAGATGTTGTTTCAAGAATATTTGTGTTCATATTCTCACTAGCCAGGGAATTATCCAACAAGGTACTGGCACAATTCCTCTACTATGAACAAGCAGATTACTTGTTTGCTTATTTGTTTTTGGAAGCTGTTAACAAATAAGTGGGTGCATGTATTCGTGGTTTAGCTCTTAGGATTAATTCTAATCAAAGAATTTCAGAAAAAGCAATCAAGGGCAATGGTTCATATCTGCTGTGAAAGGAATTATCAATCAGGCAAAAACTTTCCAAACTCTTCAACATGAAGATTACAGTACCTAGAGGTGGCTGCCTTGACTATGGTTTTCATTTTTTTCCCAAACTCCCAAAAGGCACTGATAAATCCTGGAAGATTTGGTGATACTCTGCATTCAATAATCTATTAGGAACTGAAAAGGCTAACACATATTTCCAAAATTATTTTCCAATAACCTGCCTCTGATATCTTGGATTTTACCGTTTAGATATTTCTTCCTTCCCCTTGAACCCCAAGTAACATTATTCTGTGACACTTCACTGATGGACATGGACAGGTTTTAAAGATAAAGATCTATTAAAAATAAAAGAATAGTAGCAACTCAATAGAATGAATTATTTTGCAGAGGAGGCATTAAAGACAGCATGAGGATACTTGGTGACCTGGACAAAAAAGGAAGGAATGGAAATAAATTACAAAACGAGTTGTTCTGTAAACTGAAAGAAAACACCTAATTTAAAACTTTCTTTCAAGCACCCTTTGCCAATGAACGATGACCCCCATTAGTGAGCAATTATTTCAAAAAAATGATTGTAAAGTGTATTCTAATACTCACCAGTACACTTTTAAATCTACTAGAATTTACCTTTCTTTAATGCAAGTGAAAATATGCAATCTTTACTGAATCTTGATTGGTTGATTGGAAGCATTAACAACACCATATTCCTTCTATTTTGGTTAATTTAAATAACAAATAATTTTGTATAATACTAATTGTGGCCTGGCGCGGTGGCTCACGCCTGTCATCCTAGCACTTTGAGAGGCGGAGGCGGGTGGATCACGATGTCAGGAGATCGAAACCATCCCAGCTAACACGGTGAAACCCCGTCTGTACTAAAAATACAAAAAATTAGCCCGGCGTGGTGGCGGGCACCTGTAGTCCCAGCTACTCGGGAGGCTGAGGCAGGAGAACGGCCTGAACCCAGGAGGCGGAGCTTGCAGTAAGCGAGATCATGCCACTGCACTCCTGCCTGGGTGACAGAGCAAGACTCCATCTCAAAAAAAAAAAAAAAAAATACTAATTTTATGTTTACTGTAGTTTATTAAGAGCATACGAAAAAGTAAAGATACATGTATTAAGATTTAATAGAGAAATATATGTTTATATGAGTTTAAATTTACTTTAATAGCCCACATTTGTATAAAAGTTATACTTTTGAAAAATTTAGTGACTGTAAACTGAAAGTCAGTTTAATTTTTAAATCATTCTGAAACCTATATTTTTAATTTTATAAGTTATTTATTTGGTAAGAGCACATCATACTGAGAAACGATCTGTTATGAACAACTCATATTAGCAATTTTTAATGAGAAAAATACTTTTAAAAAAGTAAAAGTAATCTATTTAAATATATTGGTGTCTTAGAGCATGTTATGCTGCTATAACAATATACTTGAAACTGAGTAATTTACAAAGAACAAAAAAATATTTTTACAGTTCTGGAGCCTGGGAATTTAAGATCAAGGCAAGGAAAGGTTCAATGTTTGGTGAGGGCTGCTCTTTGCTTTGAAGATGGCACTTTGAATGCTGCAGAGGGAAGGAGTTCTGTGGAGGAGAGGAAAGATGGATCCTTGCATGGCAGAAGGCAGAAGGGCAAAAAGGAGCAAACATCCTCCATCAAGCCCTTTTATAAAGGCATTAATCCATTCATGAGGGCAGAGCCCGCATGATACAAACACTTCCCAAAAATCTCTATCTTCCAACACTGTTGCACTGGGGATTAAGTTTCAACCCTAGAGTTTCAGTAGGAACACATTCAAATCATAGCACTTAGTCAATGTTCTTAGATTTTCTTAGATTTTTTTATTTAAATACTTTTTAAAATTTTAAATAAAATTCTTAAATTTCTTAGATTTTATTTTTTATTTAAATACTTTTTTAATTCTGTGTTTACCTACTTTCCATTTCTTCTGTGTTGAGAGTAACTGTGAATGTAGTAAACCTCACAGACATTTACAATTAGAGATCTTTGTTACATTAGCAAGTCTACAACTTATGAGCTGTACTGCTCTTAGGACTGACTGATATACACTGCACCTACTCTCTATTTTTATGAAAAAAGACATGCAAAGAACCCAAGTACTCAGAGTAAGAGGTCTCTTAATAAATATTTCCTTTCCTTGTAGATTAAATGCCTGAGACTACAGTTCTCTAAGGTTACTATTTTTTGCTTAACAGTTCTAGTTCTTAAGGTTACTATTTTTGCTTAATTATTGTATTTAACTAGACTATGTTTGAAAAAGTAATATCATGACACAGATTTGTTAATAAAATGTATTACATATGAATGTTATCTAAACCTGTTATAGAATTTCTCCATTTGTTTCTATTTTTATTTTATGAGTAGATAATAGGTGTATATATTTTGGGGGTACATAAGATATTTTGATACAGGCATGCAATGTATAATAATCACATCAGGGTAAACGGGGTATACATCACTTCAAACATTCATCATTTCTTTGCATTATGAACATCCCAATTGTACTCTCCTGTTTATTATTATAAAATGTACAACAAATTATGGCTTACTGTAGTCACCCTGTTGTCCCATCTAATGCTAGATCTTATTCATTGTACCTAACTATATTTTTGTATCCATTAACGATGCCCATTTCCCATCCCTCTCTCCCAGGATTTCTCTATTTGAGTGACTGGCGACATTGTTATCAGTAGTGCTGTTAAATTTAGATATTTTTATTTTTATTTTTTTACATTTAGTGTATAGCTTATTCTAATTATTCCTTTCTTCACAAAATCCTTTGAGTTTCTCATTTCCTATTTTTTTAACTTACTGATTAATCTGATTGTCTCCAGGATAGCCTATTTGTTATAACACACACGCACACACACACACACACACACACAGAGAGATAAATATCTTCCTGCACTCTTCAAACCATGCTAAGAGTTTTATGCTTGCCTAGAATTTGCTATCACATTCATTTGCTGTCATCATACCTCTTTCAATCTTCCGACTCTCCGAAGTTTCTGCCATGCGTTAATCTTTCTTCCTTCGTTTATTCTAGCAAGGTCAGTGTTTCACAATCAGTATTTCAGAAGAAGGCATTTCTAGGATATGTAAATTGGCTATATGCTCAGAAATTGTGTCAGTAGTGAAATATATGTATAAACATAAAAAACGATCAGGAATATTTTCTTTATTGCAAAGATATTCAAATGTTAATACACATTGTAAAAATTAAAAGATATGGAATGGAATCACCCCCAAAATAATTTGATCATAGAAATACTTTCAACCTCCTTATCTCAGGACACACAATTTGAGAATTGCTAATCTAATTCTAAGCAGATTCAATTTGTTTTCTTTTAGCAATTTTGTATGAATCTCTACAATATTTCAACTTAAAATTTACCACGATTCCCCCTTTATGTCCTCTTAGGTGTGCACGTGTATATGTACGTGAGTGTGTGAATGTGAGTGTGTATGCTGAGAATGTAAAATACTCCTACTATAAGAAGACCCTTCTATACCAATATAGGAGACAAAAGGCAGTTTATTACTAGCATTAGCAGAGTTATATGCATGTAAGTTGGCATGAAAGCAACTACAAAGCTAGAACAAAATGTCACATATTTCATATAGCAATACAGGAGGAAGAATAATAACTTTAACAAATCAAAGGGATTCTTTCTTGTGGCAGTATTCCTAAAACACCTATGAGCTAATTCTGGAAATATATTTTTATTAATCTATAAGTCATTTAACTAGGACCTTGGTGATATCTCTTCATCGTAAAAACTGGAAACTGGGCTTAATCCCTAGAGAGATTTATTTCAATCCCAAGAGTTAGAGTAAAAACTCAGATTCACTATATCTCCAACGAAACAATTTACAAAAAGGGAGGAGAGGAATATAGTCTCTTTGCCCTTCATAAACAGAAACAAAAATTTTTATTACCCTTACTATATTTCTTATTTTTCTATAAGTTGCAAACTCAGGAGACAAATTATTTGTTGGATACTTTTTTTAAGTTCTTGTCTGATTATATACCTCACTTCTGTGTCTTCTACTTTATCGCATATACTGCTTTTTCACCTGGTGCAGTGCTGTATAGAGTGGGCCCTTAAGCAACATTGTTAAATATCTCACTTACTAAAGCAAATGCCAGGAAGACTCCAGGGTAAAAATTACTCCAAAAGCTCTAAGCAGGAAATACATGGACAGTAAATCACTGCCACATTAAAAAGAACATACTATGTTTCTGAATATTAGATTATTATACACAATAGTAGATATATACAATAATCTCTATTATCAATGTGATGATCTCAATAGAGATTCTCATTTTAAAAGATGAAGTTCTTACTCCTTTGAGTTTCTCACTTTATATTTTTTAACTTAGTGATTGATCTGATTATCTCCAGGATAGTCCTATTTATGGTTAGGGTTTTATGCTTGCCTAAAATTTGCTATTTAGATTAAAATTCCACATTGCTCTCACTATTAAATCTTGAGAGGTGAATGAGATTATTCAATAAAGTATTAAACCAAATCCATAAGACATTATATTGGGCTAAAGAAACACTAAATAATGCTCATTTTCCTATGCTAAAAGTTCTGTTCTTTACAATTTAATTAATATTAAAATGTACCAATTGTAAATACATTTAGTTCACTGATGATATGAACTTAAGGAAGCACTGAACCAAGAAAAAGCAGCTAGTGAAATTAAAAGGAACTGTGATCTTGTCTGCTATGTAACTGCTGACACAAGATATTACAAATGTTGTAGAATTTTAATTATAAATGTTGCTTGCACATCTATAAAGTATTAAGCACTTTCAAATTTCGAGGAAATAAGTGAGTTAAGGCCACTCACTTTTCAAGCAGTGAAGAAAGGTGAAAAAATCAAGTGACCTTCCCTGTATACCAATTACAGAAACCTAATTTCTCTTTTGATTAGAGTCACAGAGGTGACTGAGTTGAATGAAAAGTTGTCTTGCATTTAAAATAGCACAAGTATTATTTATCTAAGAAGTCCTCATAACATATTGCATCCAGAAGTACAACAACAAATTAAAGAAAACAACAAGTTAAAAAGCCTAAAACTTAAAGCTGATTCCAAACAATTCAGCTGCCATCAGATTATTCTATTTTACCATATTACTCTGTCCATGTTACCATTTTGAGATTTGATATCCTGGTTGAACTACTTTAGGGATATCATGAGTGGTTTATCGCTCTGTGAGGTTGCAGAAGATGATGGAAAATGAACAGTGGTCAAGTTCAGTGCTTTATGTTAGTATATTTGGATGAAGTGCCATATAAATGGCTGGGTGAAAAAGACACCATGGAAAAGGGTAGTGTAACTGCTCACAATCACAAGGGATTTGTTTGAAGTTTCTTTTCCATGTAATAAACACGAAATAAGATTATTCCCCAGAGTATTCATGTTTATAAATTAATCTCATTATATCTGTATTCCCTATAGGATTTTTGTCACAAATTGTGATGTAAAAGTATTTGGCATTTTCTACTTTTTTTTCCCTTTGGGTTGTATATTAATTGATATCACAATTAAGATGTTTTCCAGCTAGAACTGTAAAAAAGTGAAGAGTTTGATTCCTGATGCTGTTGGGACCAAGACTCAATTTATGTTGCAGTTGACCTTTGCTGCAGGTCTTCAATGAAAGGAAATGTGAATGTCATCAAATTGGTTGAAAAATAAATACTCTTAAGACTATATTGAGGCCGGGCACAGTGGCTCAAGCCTGTAATCCCAGCACTTTGGGAGGCCGAAGCGGGCGGATCACGAGGTCAGGAAATCGAGACCATCCTGGCTAACACGGTGAAACCCCCTCTCTACTAAAAATACAAAAAAAAAAAAAAAAAAAAAAATTAGCCAGGCGTGGTGGCGGGCGCCTGTAGTCCCAGCTACTGGAGAGGCTGAGGCAGGAGAATGGCGTGAACTCAGGAGGCGGAGCTTGCAGTGAGCAGAGATTGCGCCACTGCACTCCTGTCTGGGTGACAGAGCGAGACTCCATCTCAAAAAAAAAAAAAAAAAAAAAGACTATATTGCTCTCCTTCCTTAAAATAAACACAGTGTAAACTGAGCATCACAGAATATGTGAACACTGGATTTCCTCTGGCGTGAATATAGTTAGAGTGCTAATATGTGTCAAGCCCTTGCTATGTGGAGTGTATACAAAAATAAATAAAGTGCAATCTATACTTTTAATGCAAGCACTGTTGGGGGTGTGAGTTAGAAATAGACCTGTAGAACAGATCACTACTCTTCAATGTGCTAACACAGTAATTATGAACAAAATGTTCAGAAAAATACTGTAGTAATAAATATCAATGAGGAAGATGGAAAGAATCTCCAGGGCAGCAATGGTAGAAATGAATTGTAAAAGATAACCAAGCTTCCCAGACAGAGAAAGTGTACTGTGAGGGAAACATAACAGTAACAATAAAATAATAACGTCAGGAAGAAGCAACAGTTACATACCTTCCCTCCTTCTCTTCCTTCCTCCCTTCCTTCTTTCCTTCCTTTTCCTCCTTCCTTCCTTCCTCCCTTCCTTCTTTCCTTCCTTTTCCTCCTTCCTTCCTTCCTTTCCTTCTTTCCTTCCTTTTCCTCCTTCCTTCCTTCCTTTCCTTCCTTCCCTTCCTTCTTCCCTCCCTCCCTCTTTCCTTTCTTTCTCTCTCCCTTTGTTTGTTTGTTTCGTTCTTTCTTTTTCTTTCTTTCTTTCTCTCTCACACACACGTACACACACTCTCACAGACACAGTATGGTAATACAAATTGATGCTCTTAATAATAGGAGTGTCTTAGTAGTACTGAACATCTAGGTCTCTTAAAGGGCTCACATCTTAGTCTGTGAGAGCGTTCTAAATGTGAGAATTTGAAAAGGAAAGTTTATGATAACAGCATCTGATATGAATTTTTCAAACCCACAGGAGTTTCAGTGAATTAAGTTTTGCATTCGTATTTATTTCTTCAGACATACAAAGATGTCATCTATTGAACTATAGTGTTCTGGTGATACTTTCTGTTTTGTTTTTTTTTTTAATCTGTTGCTTATTGATGGAATAGTCATTGCTTAAGGGCAAATAGTGGTTTTGCCCTTCCATTATTTTTCTTCTAAGTCAGAGATTCAGTAAAGCTAACATTTTACTGAATACTTTAAAAATACGGATTTTAAAAGCTACAGTCAATGAGAACCTCTACTAAATTTTAACCTCACTCAAATTAGAAAAATCTTCTAATTCTGTATGTGAGTGCTAAAGGAAACCATGAATCTGATATTGAAAATCATTTTTGAACCACAGTATTTTATGACTGCATGAAAGATCTGACATTAAACTATGTAAGTTGCTCTCTTGGATTGGCATAAAAATTGTGTCCATAAAAACTATGATTTGTGATTATTTCTCATCTGGAGTGTGTCCATGTTCATGCTACTGATGGAGTTGAGGACATACTATCCCAAAGTATGGCACCTTGGCATTTTGAATATGTTAGCTGAAGGAATCTGAGAAACGGCATGTGCAGAAAAGAATTTGACTTACCCCTGAAGCAAGTCATAAGCATGGGAAACTGGAGGAAATTTATCAAGGCTTGCTCCTTCAGATTCCTCTCTGTTCCTTTGTCTTTGGCTATCAGGATGTTGTTCTCCTCTCAGTATAGAGGAGGGCATCTCTCACCTGAGGATGTTATGACCTGCTTTGGGGTAGGTCAGAAATATGTGTGTGCTTTTCTCCTGTTACTCTATCTTGTTGTAGGGTCTCCAGCCAATGAACAAAAGATGGGTAGGAGAGAAAGGCAATTTTTTCTTCCCTACTCTCCACTTAATACAGAACTAAAAAAACTTAGATTATCTTTTAAATTTCAGACAAGTATAAAAACCAGTACACATAGCATTTGTTACTCTTCCATTGAAGGGCACAGGTGAGAATGACTACAGTGATGAACATTTGAAACACAATTTTGAAAATGCAATTATTAAAAAGCTAACATTTTAGTAACAATTTGCTTTAAAATTATAGTTACATCAAGAGTTACCTAGAGCAGGAAGAAAACAAATAAAAAACTGATGATGCATGCAGTCATCACATTAAAATGTATTTCTTTTATTCTTTACAGACATTTTCAAATATATTTAATAATAGATCATGGGGCTTTAAGAAAATTGATTTCCAATATAATCTTCCTTAATGAAAAAATATACTGGGCTCTTTCTTGACGAATTTGCCAGAAAAATGAGATGTAAGAGTATTAGACTATTCAAAAATAGCAATGTTTTTATCTAACTGAATTCACTTTAAATTAATGTACAATCAGCATACATTTTATTATTAAAATGGTGAAATCACATAATTCTCTATTTTGAAAAGCAACACTAATGGAAGCACTATATAATAAACTTAGTTAAACATTTACAAGCAATTTTCGTTAAAATTTGTTCATTTCATTTGGTGGCATAGCTTATAGTGTTTTAAAATGCAAATTTATGATAAGCGCAAAAAGAGCAGCGTTAGTATGAAATATATTCACCTAAAAATGGAAAATATAAGTAGAAATGATTATTGTCTAACCTAATAATCTAGACTTCCACTTAATCAATCCTCTGAATAACATAAATTGCAATGCACTCAACTTTTTATTCTTTAAGATAAACAATTTAAAAACAGAAATATCTGTAAATAAAAAAAGGAGCTTAGCATAGGAAACACTTAAATGCATTCTTCCAAAAAACTAAAACACTGAACATAAATTAAACTTCCTTTTTCATTTACAACTTCCTTTTTTCACACATAATCTGATCTCTGGCCTAGAAGATTATTTAAAAATCTAAATTCCATTTCTACTACCATACAGTTATTACATCCTTTTTAAATAATTGAGCTTTTCTCATGTACATAATTTTTAAATCAAAGATATAAATAATTAAACAAATAAAAAGTGAAGTGGATATGCATAATCTTTTTTTTCCAAAAATTTTTTTTTCAGAAACACAGTAAGAGGATATGTGTTAGACATTTTAATGGATTATGTCTTTTAAATCTCCTAATCACCTTATGGAGAATATGTTATTTATTGCAACTCCTAGAAACTAAGCCCAATGTGATGGCTCATGCATATAATCCCAGCACCCTGGGAGGCTGAGGTGGGAGGAAGGTTTGAGGATAGGGATCAAGACCAGTCTGCGCAACATAGCAAGACCTCCTTTCTACAAAAAAATAAAAGTAAATTAACCCGGAGTGGTGACATGAGTTTGTAGTCCCAGCTAGTTGGGAGGCTGAGGTGAGAGGATTGCTTGAGCCCAGGAGGTCAAGGTCATAGTGAGCTGTGATTATGCCACTGCCTTCCAGCATGGGCCACAGAATGAGATCTTGTCTCAAAAAAAAATTGGAATTAAACTTTCAGAGATTAGATAAATTGCTGGGGAAACATTGATTTTTAAATGGTGAAAATACAGGATGAACACCAGTTTATTTTTACTGTTTTTTCTTTTCTTTCTCAACAACCTGGTATTGAAAAAATATTACCATGGGTAATAATTCTGGGCCAAGTACAAAGCATTATATTGGTGTTTTTGAAATTGTACAATTTTCTTAAGGATGGACTTGTATTTCGTTGTTTACTGGAACACTTCCTTAAATCGTTTATATTTAAATGCTGATTTAGTATTACAATCACTTTCCTGCCTCCAAGAAACTTCTTCACAACTAAGTTAATGCATCTTTGTTTAGTTATGTTTTTATAGATAAATGGCTACTTTTATTTGACAAATTAAGCACTTTAGAATTCATTACTGGTTCTTGGTTTTAATGGTGTGATTTCATTGCCACTCTCTCTGTGGTCACATATAAGATGAATAGTTTTGAGGTTTTGAAAAATAAGGCCAAAAAGTTAAAAGGGTGTTTCAAGTGAAACATTTAGCACATAAATGTTTCTTAAAGTGAACATTCACATCTCTTTGAGCTTTTGCTTTATAAAAGGCAATTCTCAATGTACAATTCTAGTTGAGAATAAAAACTGGTTTTTATTTAATATACAACATTATATTGGGTTTATTGCAACTGTCTTAAAATAGTGCTTATGTGTTAAAGATAATGAAAATTAACTGTGGAAATAAATGTATCAAGATATATGAATAAAGATGTTAATTTTCACATAAATTGGCCAAAATGACTAAATATGCTCCATATACAACCATTCTAAAGTAGCTTAAATTTATATGATAAATGAATTGATAGGTCCTTAAGCATCATGAGTTGAAGATGTCCACATTTAATTAAACCTGGACTGGGAAATGTACCTAGGATGAAAAGGTGAGGACAGTAATTATGAAGCAGCATTTTATGAAGCATAAATCCATAGAATGCAATTCTTCAGATATACACCCCCACCTCTGCCAGTATTAAGTAGTCAAATACATTTAGGAATTGCTGCAAATAAAAATTCTTCTGAGATGGTCACAACCATAAGCATATTAATGATTCTGGAAATCTTCATAGGTTTTAACAATAATTTTGTTTAACTTTATTCAAATTAAAATTATTTGACTATGGAACTTTAATCATATTCTTAAATAATTAATAATATTCAGTGTAAAGACCCTTTCTGAAGGGTTGCTGTGAAATATATACTTCTTAATGATTATTAATAGTAATAATCATTTCTATAATTAATAAACATTATCTATGTTTAAAGGTAATATGTTGAATACATTAAAGGGAGTATTTTATACAATTGAGATAGAAATCTGGAGAAGTAGATTATTGCTACTCCTATTTTCAAGGGAAAAGAACTAAGGCTATTATGAGAGATAAAGTGACCAGTCCAAAGTCACATAGAAATGCTCAATTTGTAGTAGAAATCTATGCAATTTATTTATGTATTTAATTGACAAATACAAACAATATATTTGATATATGATTTGGCTCTCTGTCTGTTATTGGTGTGTAGGAATGTTTGTGATTTTTGCACATTGATTTTGTATCCTGAGACTTTGCTGAAGTTGCTTATCAGCTTAAGGAGATTTTGGGCTGAGACGATGGGGTTTTCAAAATATACAATCATGTCATCTGCAAACAGGGACAATTTGACTTCCTCTTTTCCTAATTGAATACCCTTTATTTCCTTCTCCTTCCTGATTGCCCTGGCCAGAACTTCCAACCCTATGTTGAATAGGAGTGGTGAGAGATGGCCTCCCTGTCTTGTGCCAGTTTTCAAAGGGAATGCTTCCAGTTTTTGCCCATTCAGTATGATATTGGCTGTGAGTTTGTCATAAGTAGCTCTTATTATTTTGAGATATGTCCCATCAATACCTAATTTGTTGAGAGTTTTTAGCATGAAGGGCTGTTGAATTTTGTCCTAGGCCTTTTCTGCATCTATTGAGATAATCATGTGGTTTTTGTCTTTGGTTCTGTTTATATGCTGGATTACATTTATTGATTTTCATATGTTGAACCAGCCTTGCATCCCAGGGATGAAGCCAACTTGTTCATGGTAGATAAGCTTTTTGATGTGTTGCTGGATTCGGTTTGCCAGTATTTTATTGAGGATTTTTGCATCGATGTTCAACAGGCTCTGAAATTGAGGCAATAATTAATAGCTCACCAACCAAAAAAAGTCCAGGACCAGATGGATTCACAGTCGAATTCTACCAGAGGTAGAAGAAGGATCTGGTACCATTCCTTCTGAATCTATTCCAATCAATAGAAAAAGAGAGAATCCTCCCTAACTCATTTTATGAGGCCAGCGTCATCCTGATACCAAAGCCTGGCAGAGACACAACAAAAAAAGAGAACTTTAGACCAATAGCCCTTGGTATTATTTTGGTGAAGAAGAAATAAAGACAATCAATCAGAAGAATTCTATTAAAAAATAAAATATTCAAGGGGATAGTACCAAAGGAAGATGGATACGGTTAATCTTTGACAAGTATTTCATCACTTAAACATAAAGTCTTCAAATCTTGCTAAGTTTATGGAAGTTCTTAATCATTAAGTCCCCAAAATAACATACATAGTAAATGGACTCAAGAGGTTAAAATCATCGTCACAATTACATTGCCTTTTAAAAATACTGCATGGGAACATCAGAGAAATGTAACAGTAAAGTGGACCGAATTACAAAATACAATCTAAGAGAGAGAGAAAGAGAGAGAGAGAGAGAGTGTGTGTGTGTATAGGAGTTTATTAAGGAGTATTAACTCACAAGATCACAAGGTCCCACAATAGGTCATCTGCAAGCTGAGGAGCAAAGAAGCCAGTCTGAGTCCCAAAGTGAAGAACTTGGAGTCTAATGTTCGAGGGCAGGAAGCATCCATCACAGGAGAAAGATGTATGCTGGGAGGCTAAGCCAGTCTAGTCTTTTCATGTTTTTCTGCCTGCTTTATATGCTTGCCACACTGGCAGCTGATTAGATGATGCCCACCCAGATTAAGTGAGGATCTGCCTTTTCCAGCCCACTGACTCAAATGTTAATCTCCTTTGGAAACCCCTTCACAGATATACCCAGGATCAATACTTTTTTTTTCTTTTTTCAAGATGGAGTCTTGCTCTGTCACCCAGGCTGGAGTGCAATGGAATAATCTCAGCTCACTGCAACCTCTGCCTCCTGGGTTCAAGCCATTCTCCTGCCTCAGCCTCCCCAGTAGCTGGGATTACAGGCACGCACCATCACACCCAGCTAATTTTTGTATTTTTAGTAGAGACAGGGTTTCACCAGGTTGGCCAGGCTGGTCTCCAACTCCTGACTTCGTGATCCACCTGCCTCGGACTCCCAGAGTGCTGGGATTACAGGCTTGGGCCACCTTGCCCGGCCAGGATCAATACTTTGGATTCTTCAGTCCAATCAATTTGACACCCAGTAATAACCATCACAACTACTAATGTAATATATTGAAATATACCTGTTTGTAACACATAATTATTTTTCTGATCAACTTTAGCCATTCCTGAGCAAGTGCTGTGAAAAATGAATCAAATATTTCCAAATTTTCATCAGTGTTCAGGGAAATAATAGTAATCATATCAAGATAAATTTATTCTCTCCTGTTGAACTAATAATAATCCAACATTGTAAGGCATGATATGTAAATGAGATAGCTATTTAAAATTTGCCTTGAAGCAAAGTGCCCACGTATTTGTGTTAAAGCATCAGCAAATGAAGAGAAGCCTCACCTGGTAGATCACTTATAAAGAGAAAAAGTATTGTCCTTGCTTGGAAATTGGGTCATTGAAAACAACAATAAAAAGGGAATATATGGGCTGGTTTATTCACTTTATCCTGAAATATGCATCATCACCATCTCCCTCTGTTATGAACTGTTTGGTCTGTAACTCACAAATTTTATCTTTACTTCATGATACCTTACAATTCTATTTGTATTTTATTATTTTAATGAGTTTTTTTTAGCATTTCTAGATAGTATTCATCCTTATAACATTTCTATTTTTGCAACTAAATAATATAGATAGACTCTTTTCTATTTGAGCAGTACTGCATTAAACACTTTTACACAATTTATTCATTTTATCTTAACCATTTCAATGTATTAAAGTCATTTTTCCCACCATTAGCTCTTTTCTCTCATTTCATTTTTCTTAGATGTATGTATATTTTAGATATTTACTAGCACATACTATATAGCAGAGTGGTTTTCTATTTTAGGGGGGGTTTATCCACAGGGGGAATTTAACAATGACTCTAAACTTTTTTTGGTTATCGTAACTGAGAATCACGAGTGGCATCTAGTAAGCAGAGGACAAGAATCCAACTATCTATCCTATAATTATCAGGACAGTCCCATCTCTTTCTCTCTCCCTCTCTCTCTCTTTCTCTCTCTCTTTCTCCGCGCCCCCCCCCCAACCCCTCTCTCTCACACACACACAACCTGGTTCAAAATGTCAAAAGAGTCAAAGCTGAAAAACTGTTATGTAACATATAGTCAATCTTTGTTTGTGAATTTGTGTTCATGTAATATGTTAAAATGTGGCATGCATTTGTTCCAAGTAAGATATTCTCATGTAAAATTTTGAATGTCTATACTGGAAGAAGCAGGGTGTAACAAGAGCAGTGGAGAAGAGTGGTGGGCACTAAGCACACCATGTGAGCTTTCAACCTTCCCCTGTGCAACGAGCACTGCTTTTTTGGTCAGAAGCCCTTCACTACAGTTGGCCTGATTTCAAGTTAGTTCCTTCTCAAACACCAAACTTGAATCACAGAGTGAGCCCCCGGTTGAACATTTTAAATAGAAAAATCAACCAGAATGCTTTTACTAAGTTGCCTTTTAAGGAGCCAGAAAGTCAAGTAATACTAAAACCTATGGAAAAAGAAGCATAACAAAAAATGACTAAGAAAACTCATATAAATGAACAATAAATCCGGATAGAAAATCATCTTCTCTTCCCCAAATATGTTTCTTGTCCATTTTCTTGAATGTGTTAAAAAATTTTTTCCTATAATAAACGTTTAACTCAATGTGCACCAAAAAGGTAGATCATGTACTCAAGTTAGCTGCACAAATAGCCCCAGACAAGTAAAATTCATGCCAGGCAGGTATTACTTAATTAATTAGTGCAAGCAACTAGAAAGTCTCTTTTTCTATTATCAACTTTTCATCTTATTTTGAAAAAGAAAGCTGAACATGCCCTTCTCAAAAATATCCTGTTGTCATATAGAATTGTCATATAGAATATATTCTGAAGGACAAGCTGATACCCTTATGTAATAAAGACGTTCTTGTTATTTATATTATTTTATTTAAACAACGTATTATAAGCACAAATATATAATTATGATTAATATATAAACTAATTATAGTTAAGGTATTCCACAAATTTGCAGTTCATTAAGCAATTCTACCTAAATTAAAGTGTTATTTAAAAAAATAGAATGATACTTGTATTGATATAAAATTCTACCAGGTGAAGTATCAATGATACTCAATAGCCAATGCTAGGCAGCGTTATTTTATTCTATAGACAGAAGATGTTGCTAGGTACTCTGACCTTTTTATTTACAAGCTATATCCTTTTGCAACAGGCATTTACATTTTCTTTTTTTTTTTATTATTGTACTTTAAGCTCTGGGATACATGTGCAGAACGTGCAGGTTTGTTACATAGGTATACATGTGCCATGGAGGTTTGCTGAACCCAACAACCCATCATCTACCTCAGGTATTTCTCCTAATGTTATCCCTTCCCTTGCCTCCCACCCCCCGACAGGCCTTGGTATGTGATGTTCCCCTCCCTGTGCCCATATATTCTCACTGTTCAACTCCCACTTATGAGTGAGATAATGCAGTTCTTGGTTTTCTGTTCCTGTGTTAGTTTGTTGAGAATGATGGTTTCCAGCCTAATCCATGTCCCTGCAAAGGGCACGACTTATTCTTTTTTATGGCTGCATAGTATTGCATGGTGTATATGTCCCACATTTTCTTTATCAAGTCTAACATTGATGGGCATTTGGGTTGGTTCCAAGTCTTTGCTATTGTCAGTAGTGCTGTAATAAACATAGGTGTGCATGTGTCTTTATAGAAGAATGATTTATAAACCTTTGGGTATATACTGGGATTGCTGGGTCAAATGGTATTTCTAGTTCTAGATCCTTGAGGAATTGCCACAGTCTTCCACAACGGTTCAACTAATTTATACTTCTACCAACAGTGTAAAAGCATTCCTATTTTTTCACATACTCTCCAACATCTGTTGTTTTCTTACTTTTTAATGAACACCATTCTGACTGGCATGCGATGGTATCTCATTGTGGTTTTGATTTGCATTTCTCTAATGACCAGTGATGATGAGCTTTTTCCCATATTTTTGTTGGCTGCATAACTGTCTTCTGTTGAGAAGTGTCTGTTCATATCCTTCGTCCACTTTTTTATGGGGTTGTTTTTTTTTTTTTTTTTTGTAAATTTGTTTAAGTTCCTTGTAGATTCTGGATATTAGTCCTTTGTCAGATGGATAGATTGCAAAAATTTTCTCCCATTCTGTAGGGTACCTGTTCACTCTAATGATAGTTTCTTTTGCTGTGCAGAAACTCTTTAGTTTAATTAGATCCCATTTGTCAATTTTGGTGCAATTGCTTTTTGTGTTTTAGTCATGATGTCTTTGCCCATGCCTATGTCCTGAACGGTATTGCCTAGCTTTTCTTCTAGGGCGTTTATGGTTTTAGGTCTTATGTTTAAATCTTTAATGCATCTTGAGTTAATTTTTGTATAAGGTGTAAGGTAGACATCCAGTTTCAGTTTTCTGCATATGGCTAGCCAGTTTTCCCCACACAATTTATTAAGTAGGAAATATTTTCCCCATTGCTTGTTTTTGTCAGGTTTGTCAAAGATCAGATGGTTGTAGATGTGTGGTGTTATTTCTGAGGCCTCTGTTCTGTTCCATTGTCCTGTATATCTGTTTTGGTACCAGTACCATGCTGTTTTGTTTACTGTAGCCTTGTAGTATAGTTTGAAGTCACATAGCATGATGCCTGCAGCTCTGTTTTTTTGCTTAGGATTGTCTTAGCTATATGGGCTCTTTTTTTTGGTTCCACATGAAATTTAAAGTAGTTTTTTTTTTTTTTTCTAATTCTGCGAAGAAAGTCAATGGTAGCTTGATGGGGATAGCATTGAATCTATAAATTACTTTGGGCAGTATGGACATTTTCATGATATTGATTCTTCCTAACCACGATCATGGAATGTTTTTCCATTTGTTTGTTTCCTCTCTTATTTCCTTAAGCAGTGGTTTGTAGTTCTCCTTGAAGAGGTCCTTTACAGCCTGTGTAAGTTGTATTCCGAGGTATTTTATTCTCTTTGTAGTAATTGTGAATGGGAGTTCACTCATTATTTGGCTCTCTATTATTGGTGTATAGGAATACTTGTGATTTTTACACATTGATTTTTTATTCTGAGACTGCTGAAGTTGCTTATCAGCTTAAGGAGATTTTAGGCTGAGACAATGGGGTTTTCTTTTTTATTCTAAAATAAGGATGAACTACCACCTGACTATTCTATCCTATAATAGGTTGTGTTATGATGCATATTAATGAACTGCACAAACCATAGCAGGTGATAGCAAAGTTCTTATTTTATAGATTTCAATATAAAAAATTAAACATATGGCTGCTTTTGAGAAAAAAAGTAATAATTTTTATAGATATTTCCTTCTCTGAATCTTATACAAATTAATTAATGTGGCCAAACAGTTTTAAAGCAGCCTCTATGATGCTCGCTTCTGGAAATGTGTGATTTTATGTGCTATCCTCTGCCGAAGTAGAATCTGTGACTTGTTTTTAACTAATGGAATGCAGCAAGATGATGGGATACACGTGATTAATCATGCTCAATTACATAAGCGTGAACTGTCCATCTTGCTACAGTCTTTTTCTCCACTGTTGGCTTCAAAGAAGCCACAGATGTTATGGCTGCAAATAAAGGAATTCTGCAAGTACCTGGGAGACCAGAGAAGCAGATCCTTTCCTGGTTTAGCATCAAATTAGACCCCAGGACCAGCCAATACCTTGACTGCAGCCCTCTCGCACTCCAAGCAGAGGACTCAGCTAAGCCAAATACAGACTCCTGACTGAAAGAACCTGTGAGATAGTGAATGCGCATCTGATTTTAAGCTGCTAAATCTATGGCAATTTGTTACACAATATACACAATTAATACAATAAATAATTCACAGAATTTCTTTCCAGGAAGGAAACGGTTGGTCCATTTCAACTTTCTCTTTATTTCTTCTCAAAATACGGTTCTCCTTCATATCCCAGGTTTGGTCAACCACTTGCAATTCCTCTTTAAGCTAAATTCACATGGAGTGGCTCTCCATTATTTTAGCCCCAGCATGGGAGAAAGGACTACCAGTAATATTGTAAGAGGCTCTCCTAAAATAATATACATAGCCACACAAAGTTAAACAATCTTATGCCATTTTTAAACAGCAAGACATCTTAAAGTCTTTATATACTAATATGTTTAGAGGTTTTCCAAAAAGGATAATATAAAGCTCAATGTTTTGTGAAGTTATCTGATAAACGAAGCCTCTCAGAACACCTATGAACAACTCATGGGACACTGTGCTACTGAGAACAGTTTAGGAAATATTGGTTCAGACTTTCTATTGCTCACTACATTAAAGCATGTGATGAATGATGTAAAATGTGAAATGATTTGTATTCTTGTCTCACAGAGCACTTGTAAGTCATCTATGAGAAACAAAACACCACTTATTGATAATCAAGTCTGTATTTTGCCTTTTGCATCACTTAACTGAATTTTAAATATTTGTATGCTACTATTCAGTTATATATTTTTAAAAACTGGCAAGTAAATATTAAGAGAAACATTTTTTAAATGTTTATCTGCCCTATTTCAGACAAAAATAGGTAGGTAAGACAACTCCACATAGAATACTGTTGCTCAAATATTTACATTGCAATTGCTCTACAAACAGAGAAGATTCAACTTTTCTCTTCATGAAAAGTTACAGGCTTTGCCTAAGGACATCCATTTCAAGCTCAAAGATTTAGCTGAACCTGGAACACTAGTTCCAAATTTCATTTTAATTTGGAACTTTTATTTATGTTAGTTTTAATATAAAAAGTTTAAAACTGTTTCAGGAACAAAACTCTGTTGCGATTAGTCTATTTCTTTTGAAAACAGGATGAATTGAAGAGAGTTGGAAACATGTGTCAATGTAAACCATCCCATTAATCTTGTTTCTCTGTCTTCATATTACACGGGTTGATACAAGAGACTCTTAGAAATCTATGAATGTGAAGATTTATTCCCTCCTTTATTACCACATGAGCTGTGTCAACATAATCTGAGGAGAGCTGTTTCAATCTTGTTATTTAACAAAATTCAGGATTCTGTTAGTAAAATGTTTGGGGGGAAAATGCATTCTTTTTTTTTTTTTTTTTTTTTTTTTTTTTGATGGAGTCTTGCTCCGTCACCCAGGCTGGGGTGCAGTGGCGTGATCTCGGCTCACTGCAACCTGTGTCTCCTGGGTTTAAGCGATTCTCCTGCCTCAGCCTCCTGAGTAGCTGGGACTATAGGTGTGTGCCACCACACTCAGCTAGTTTTTGTATTTTTAGTAGAGACGAGTTTTCACCATGTTGGCAAGTCTGGTCTCAAACTCCCGACCTCAGGTGATCTACCCACCTTGGCTTCCCAAAGTTTTGGGATTACAGGCGTGAGCCACCATGCCTGGCAGAAACATGCGTTGTTTTTTAGAAAAAGTAACTCACTAATTTCATACTGTGAAGCAAGAATCTCTGATTCACTGATTAGTCTTCCTTCCTATCCCAGAGAGTTAAATACAAGCACTTTCTTTTTCCCTGAAGAAAGATGAGTAATAATCATTATTTGAGCAGCAGCTTTCATTGCATGGAAATGAATTGAGAGCTTTGGATGATGCATAGATCTCATAATAAACTTTTAGCCAACTATCAAACCTCATTTCCATTACACGGATCTGGTAATGACAATTTGTTTTATTCAGTGCTATTTTACATTTAGTGATTTGTGCTGTACCCTTGAGAAAATATTTGCTAAAAAATTGAATGGAACTTGTAATCTAGTCTTAATAATGTAAACAAAAAATTATCTAATTCATCTGAATTTTTAGCAAATGCTCTAAAGTATTTTCTCTCTTTTTCAAGAAAAATTAGGAGCTTTTAGTCAATAAAGTACAGCACATTCATCTATGAATCTGCTCCAAAAACACATGAAGGATAGAAAACTTTAAAAAGACAAAATAGAAAATATATCTGGGTTCAGAAAAAAATAAAGACAAGCATCCATATGGCCTTGTCGAAGCAAAAATTGTACCTGATAAAGTTAAGCAGGCAAGAAAGACTTTCTGCAAAACACTGGCAAGAGAGTCTAGAATACAGTCTGAACTAAATTTCATTAAAACAAAGGGCTAGAGAGTTTTTAAAAGCTTGCAGGGCTGGAGGCAGAGGAGAAATCCTGTACTGTCTTGGTTTGCTAATTGGCCTCATCCTTTGGAAAAGTAATTTTCTTGCTTCTTCATAAGACGAGGTAGTCTGTTATTGGAGCAAAGACCCCACAGAGTTAGGCTGTCACTCACCCACAGAGACTGGGAGACAGATGTTTGTATTTCTTGATAATTACATTTTAAAGGGATGGCTCCCAGATTTTTAAGAAAGATAGTCGTGGGTTGTAAAACTGTCAGTAGGCTTTCAAAAATATTTACATATCATGGGGCAAAGAAAAAAATTATAATTGCAAGTATTCTAAAGTCAACGCTCTAAGAAAAGGGAAGAGAGACACCTGGAGTTAGACCATCTGGATTCTGTAAGGGACAGAGTGAGAGATGGGTAAGGAACCTAAGGCAAGAAGAAGTCTAATTTCAGTCTAATTTCAGTTTAGCTGAGAGGAACATTAAGGCTTACTTGTTCACACTAAAAGGGGAAAAGTTATTGTTCTTGAATCCATGGGCCAAATGGAGCCAGATTCCAGCTACCAGAATATTGCTTTCTGTACAAACAGAAAATACTCTGGAGAAATGATAAGGAGAAACAATCAAACAAACAAAAACAAATCCCATACTTCAGAGCGTCTTAGACAATGTTACAATGAGAGATGAAAAGACCAGTGAAATTAAAGAGAGCCTCCACTTTCTCGTTCCAAAACAAGCAAACAAACAACCCAGATTCATGTATAAACCAGAGAACTGGAATTTAGATTGCCCCAGGTAAGAGGAGTGGAACTAGTTGAAAGGTCATTAGGAGAATATAACATTTAAGCAAAGATATAAAGTGAGAAGTTACTTCTACAGATATCTGGGAGTAGGGGTGAGGATGAGCACAAGACTGCAAAATGAGTGCCAGGGTTTAAAGTACATCAAGGAGACTGTTTTGGAGATTTTGAAAAAATGAGATCAGAGACATAATAAAAGGCCCATTTATGTAGGCCTTTAAGAACTTTGGGTCAGGGAAAATCTTCAGCAGAGGAGTTCCATGATCTGACATGTTTTAAAGGGATAATTCTAGCTGCTTGTTGAGACTAGATTGAAGGCATCTAAGTGCAAGATAGGGTGGGGACAGGGAGTTCTAGTTCATGAATCCGGGTGAGTAATGATGGTGACTTGAACCAAAGTATTAGTCGTGGTAGTGTTGAGAGCTTGTCAGACTGATATCTTGAAGGCATATTTTATGGGATTTATTGATAGATTGGATACAGTGTGAGAAAAATTAAAGAGTCTAGAATACCACCAAGATTTTTGTCCTGAAAACTGGAGGAATAGATTTCTAAGTTTCTGATATGAGGACAGCCACCTAAGAGTTTTGCACAATTCCCAAACTCTTTACTTTCACCACTACAATAACCAGTGTGCTAAACCACCAGGCCTTCTTACAGTTCTCCGTTATTGTGTTACATAAGAATGGGGGTCTTCTCCATTGATATAATCTGTTTTCTGCCTCTACTAAACCACATAGATGATCTCACAGCCAACTTTGAATTCTAGCTGTTTATTTATTCACTAACATTTAAGTTGAATATTACTCATATGTCTCATTATGCTGTCGCTTTGAAATATGGGTGATGTTATTTGCTTTATTATTATTATTTTTTACCTAAATGTTGTTGGGAATGGATTAATGATTGAATTCAAACTTATCTAAATTTCTGAGGAAGAATGTCAGTGTACAAATTTAATGGAGACATTTTAGAAATTTAGGTTTAGACATCTTAAATGTGAAAGGCCTACGCAGCATCAAGTAAAGAGAGTGGTTAAAGTTAAACTTGAACACTAACCATGTTTTATACTACAAAATGCCATATATTATATAAAATAAAATATACCATAATATATAAAATGCACTATAATGTACATTATAAAATATTTAAAGGTTTTTATAATAATAAAAATTTACAATCTTATGATGAAATGAGGTCATCAAAGATGTATGTTATTTAGAAAAGAGAAGGTAAATGTGAAAGACGGAATTCTGAGACATTCAATCATTTAAATGTCAGGTTGATGAGGCAGAGTCATCGAAAAATACTAAGAAAAAAAGGCCAGTGAGATTGGAGCGAAATCAAGAGATGATGGAACCCTGAAATTCAAAAGAATAAAGTGTTTCTAGGAGGAGAGAGTTGGTAACTCTAGAGAGTTACCAACTGTGTCAAATGCTGTTGTTGTTTGTTTGTTTATTTGTTTTTTCTGCAAATTGAGAAGTGAGGTCATCAATGGAATGTGAGGATGAAGGAGAAAATATTGAAGGTTTGACATGAGATAAGAACTAATGAAGAAAACCTAGGCATTACCATTCAGGACATAGGCGTGGGCAAGGACTTCATGTCCAAAACACCAAAAGCAATGGCAACAAAAGCCAAAATTGACAAATGGGATCTAATTAAACTAAAGAGCTTCTGCACAGCAAAAGAAACTACCATCAGAGTGAACAGGCAACCTACAACATGGGAGAAAATTTTCGCAACCTACTCATCTGACAAAGGGCTAATATCCAGAATCTACAATGAACTCAAACAAATTTACAAGAAAAAAACAAACAACCCCATCAAAAAGTGGGCGAAGGACATGAACAGACACTTCTCAAAAGAAGACATTTATGCAGCCAAAAAACACATGAAGAAATGCTCATCATCACTGGCCATCAGAGAAATGCAAATCAAAACCACTATGAGATATCATCTCACACCAGTTAGAATGGCAATCATTAAAAAGTCAGGAAACAACAGGTGCTGGAGAGGATGTGGAGAAATAGGAACACTTTTACACTGTTGGTGGGACTGTAAACTAGTTCAACCATTGTGGAAGTCAGTGTGGCGATTCCTAAGGGATCTAGAACTAGAAATACCATTTGACCCAGCCATCCCATTACTGGGTATATACCCAAAGGACTATAAATCATGCTGCTATAAAGACACATGCACACGTATGTTTATTGCGGCACTATTCACAATAGCAAAGACTTGGAACCAACCCAAATGTCCAACAATGATAGACTGGATTAAGAAAATGTGGCACATATACACCATGGAATACTATACAGCCATAAAAAATGATGAGTTCATGTCCTTTGTAGGGACATGGATGAAATTGGAAACCATCATTCTCAGTAACCTATCGCAAGAACAAAAAACCAAACACCGCATATTCTCACTCATAGGTGGGAATTGAACAATGAGATCACATGGACACAGGAAGGGGAATATCACACTCTGGGGACTGTGGTGGGGTCGGGGGAGGGGGGAGGGATAGCATTGGGAGATATACCTAATGCTAGATGACACGTTAGTGGGTGCAGCGCACCAGCATGGCACATGTATACATATGTAACTAACCTGCACAATGTGCACATGTACCCTAAAACTTAGAGTATAATAAAAAAAAAAAAAGAACTAATGAAGTAGAGTCTAAGAATACAAAAGTTAATGGACTAAGGAAATGTAGTAGATTAACAAGCCACATAAATGGCTCATCTGAGGTTAGCGCTCAGGAATTTAAAGACTGGATACATTCAATTCAGCAACCTTCAATTTTTGGTGTTTCCTCAGACAACTATTAAGAAGACAGAGGCAAGAAAGTTTCCCTATAATGAATTCCACATGAAAATCTTATATTCTGCTAACTTGAAAAATTGCATTGGATTAGGCAACATAGAAAAAGGACTCTGTTTATTTGGGTTGCACACATACATAGCAAAACCTTAAAATAACAATTTTAAATAAAATGCTTGAATAATATTGATATACAGCTATGATGTACCTTGTTTAACTTGCCTTATTGGTCCTTTCTAGCATTTCAAGAACTGACACCATTACTTAATCCATAGTTTGAAAGACACAATACTATATATGCTACAGAGAGAGTACAAAAGAAGGTTTTATTCCAGTTTCTAAGTCTATGAGACTATGCTCTATAATATAATAAATATTTATAGTCCCAAATTCTTTGAATTTTCTGGAAAAGATCTTCTTAAAACAAATGGTCATAAAAATCACTTAAGTATAATTTTACTCATAAAATAAAGGCAAGGCCGGGCACGGTAGCTTATGCCTGTAATCCTATAACTTTGGGAGGTCCATGCAGGCAGGTCACTTGAGCTCAGGAGTTCGAAACCAGACTGGACAACATGGTGAAATCCTGTCTCTACTAAAAATTCAAAAAATTAGCAGGGTGTGGTGGCACAGGTCTGTAAGGCCAGCTACTTCGAAGGCTGAGGCACGAGAATCGCTTGAACCTGAGAAGCAGAGGCTGCGGTGAGCCGAGAGCACTTCACTGCACTCCAACCTTTGTGGCAGAGCCAGACTTTCTCAAAAAAATAAAAATAAAAATAAATGAATACTTAAATAAATAAAAAATAAAATAAAGGCAAGATCTTAAGATCTTGATTTATACTTTCATGACTCAATGTTAAAGACTTTTCAATTAACTGCCTAATACAGCAATAGATGGGATTGTTTGTAATGTGTGGTCATGGTTTTATAGAAGTTATGAATAACCAAGATATCTTATTAATTGAAATGTATTATCAAATTCTGCTTTACAAACTAAACAGATTCAACACCCCATATATTTTCATTATGAATAGAAGTAAATCTCAAAATCTAGATCATGACTCACACAAATATAAAATAAGCACACATTAAAGATTTTGAAACATAGTTAATGAGGAAACTATTTCAAAAACCTCAAAGGAAGAGTCAATTTTTTCAGGGAGTGTGTTTGTCAGGGTTCTCTAAAGGGACAGAACTAATAGGATATACAAATATATGAAGCAAAGTGTATTAGGAGAACTGACTCACATGAACAAAATGTGAAATCCCACAGTAGGCCATCCACAAGCTGTGGAGCCAGGAAGCCAGTCTGACTCCCAAAACCTCAAAAGTGGGAAAGCTGATAGTGCAGCCTTCAGTCTGTGACTGAAAGCCTGAGAGCCCCTTGAAAATCAATGGTGTAAGTCCAAGTGTCCAAAAGCTGAAGAACTTGGAGTCTGATATTCAAGGGCAGGAGGCATCCAGCATGGGAGAAAGATAGAGGCCTGAAGTCTTAGCCATCTAGTCCTTCCACTTTCCTCTGTTTGCTTTTATCTTAGCCAGGCTGGCTGGCAGCTGATTAGATGGTGCCTACCCAGATTGAGGGTGAGTCTGGCTCTCCCATGAATACTGGCTATGGGAGAAACAGTACCACATACCGGAAGCTGATTGAGGTACACAGCCTTCTGGAAAACTTTGCTTCAGTCCTGCAAAGTACTGTCACCTAGTTGGTGTTGTAACTGTGACTTCAAAAGGCCATTTCACCCTTCTATCAATCCAGCTGCTTCAGGATCATGGGGAACATGGTAAGACCAGTGAAATTCATGAGCATGAGCCCACTGAAACACTTCTTTAGCCATAAAGTGAGTGCCTTGGTTAGAGACAATGCTATGTGGAATACAATTACAGTATATAGGAATTCCATGAGTCCACGGCTGGTAGTTTGGAAGAAGCATTGCACACAGAATATCTTTCCATGATGGAAGATATTCAATATAGTTAACCTGCCACCAAGTTGCTGGCTGATCACCCTGAGGAATGGTGTCATATCAAGGGCTCAGTGTTGGTTGCTGCTGCTGGCAAACTGGGCACACAGCAGTGGCTGTAGCCAGGCCTGCCTTAGTGAGTAGAAGTCCATGTTGCTGAGCCCATATATAACCTCCATCACTGTCACATGGCTGCTTTGTTAATCAGCCCGTTGGGCAATGGCAGGGGTCACTGGGAAATGAGCTTGAGTGGTGGCCACAGAATGAGTCATTCTGTCCACTTGATTATTCAGATCCTTCTCTGCTGAGGTCACCCATTGGTGAGCACTCACATGGGATCCAAATATCTTGACAGTTTTTGACCACTCAGAGAGGTCCATCCACATACCTCTTCCCCAAATTTCTTTGTCACCAATTTTCCAATCCTGCTTCTTCCAAGTCCCTGACAAACCACTGGCAATAGCCTATGAATCAGTATATAATTGCACATCTGGGCATGTCTCCTTCCAAGAAAAGTGTACAACCAGGTGCACTGCTTGAAGTTCTGCCCATTGGGAAGATTTCCCTTCACCACTATTTTTCAGGGATGTCCTAGAAAGGGGCCATAGTCCTGCCGCTGTCCACTCTCGGGTGGTGCCTGCATATTGAGCAGAGCCATTTGTGAACCAGGCCCTTGTCTTTTCTTCCTCTGTCAACTGATCATAGGAAACTCCCCATGAGGCCATCAGTGCAGGCTGGGGGAAAGAAAACAGGGTGGCAGGAGTTGAGACCACGGGTATTTGAGCCACTTCATCAGTAACTTACTTGTGCCCAGAGGAACCGCTTGAGCCCAATCACGTGTATACTACTTACATTTGATAATTGAATGCTGCCATGCATGCCCCACTATATGGCCAGATGGATCAGGAATCACCCAGTTTATGATAGGCGGTTCAGGTTATATGGTAACTTGATGACCCATAGTCAAAAGTTCAGTTTCTACCAAAGCCCAGTAACAGGCCAAGAGCTGTTTCTCAAAAGGAGGGTAGTTATTTGCAGAAGAGGGCACGGGCTTGCTCCAAAATCCTAGACGTATCTGCTGTTATTCACCTAGTGGGGCCTGCCAAAGGCTTCAAACAGCATCTCTATCTGCCATTGACACCTCAAGCTTCATTGGATCTGCTGGGTCATATGGCCCAAGTGACAGAGCAGCTTGCACAGCAGCCTGAACCTGTTGCAGGGCCTTCTCTTCTTTTGGGCCCCACTTCTGGCACCAAAATCTTTATTAGTCAGGGTTTTCTAAAGGGACAGAACAAATAGAATAGATGAACATATGAATGGGGAGTTTATTAGAAGAATTGACTTACACGATCACAAGGTGAAGTCTCACAATAGGCCGTCTGCAAGCTGAGAAGCCAGGAAGCTAGTCTGAGTCTCAAAACCTCAAAAGTAGGGAAGCAGATAGTGCATCCTTCAGTCTGGGGCTGAAGGCCCAAGAGCCCCTGGCAAATCACTGGTGTAAGTCCAAGAGTCCAAAAGCCAAAGAACTTGGAGTCTGATGTTTGAGGGCAGGAAACATCCATCACAGAAGAAAGATGGAGGCCAGAAGACTCAACTAGTCTTGTCTTCCATTTTCCTCTGCCTGCTTTTATCCTAGCCACTCTGGCAGCTGACTAGATGCTGCCCACCCAGATTGAGAGTGGTTCTGCCTCTCCCAGTCCACTGACTCAAATGTTAATCTCCTCTGACAACACCCTCACAGGCACACCTAGAACAATACTTTGCATCATTCAATCCAATCTAGTTGACACTCAACGTTAACCATCAAAGGTGGTAAAGTCAATTGAAACTCCACCAACTCAATGTTATTTGTATGTTTATAGAAAACACTTATCCACAACTATTATCTACATTACACAAAATAATAAATTGACTCAAAGACAACAGAAGGCTAGGATCAGGTAACCTGAAAGGATATGCTTTAAACACCATGTATATAATTTTCTTAAGTCAAGCAGTAAACTATTTTTTAAATATTTCAAACTTTTATACAATTCTAAAGAATAATTTATTTAAAATAATTTGTAGAATCATGGCTAGAGATAGATTATAGAATCAAATTAGAAATAAAGTATATGACACACAGAATATTAAATATCATGTTTGTAGTACATACCTAGAATGCTTTTGCAAAAAAAAAATCATCAACTCTGTACATTGAAAATATGTCATCTTTTCCACCGAAATATGACTGTACTTCTCTGGTTTCCTACAAAGTAAAATTTTAATTCTCAGTCTATGAAGCTCTTTTATTAGAATACACTAAATTATCTAATCTCACTTCTCATTTGTAAATCATCCAACTATCTTTTTACCGTATTATTCTGCTCTGAAACTGGCATTTTTGTGTAGTTTACAGTTCTCCTTGCCCCATCAATGTATAAACTTAAATGTCTTCTGCTAAAGATTTCCCTATAGAGATTCCATCAGGGTTTTTTGTTTTTTAATTCTTACTTTTGAAAAATAGGTTTTATCGTTCTTTAAATTAGTGATAAGAAATATTCAAACTGCAGATGATTGTCTTGATAGAAGTTTAAAAATGGAACTTATAGGTATAGTACATTTACTGACTTTGTTTGATTTCTAAATCAAGGTCAGGGAGGAACAAATGCATCTTAGACTTTTTGGGTCACAGAACATTGTGAGTATAGACTTCTTACCAACAATGTAACCTCTCCAACTCTTCTGGGATTGAGAAACTCTCTCATTTATAGAGCAATACTGAATGGCTATCATGAGATCAGAAGAGAAATTTAATTGCTAAATACGATAATTTAGACGCCTTGGATATATTTCTGGTCAAGATATTCTAACAACAAAATAACCTAGCCCATTATTGATTAGTTTGAGATATTACAAAGTTTTCTTTATAAAGAATTAAGAATTATTTTCTTGTGACTTTAATTCATTTGATAACATTAGATTGTCTGGTGAAATGTCTCCCTTAAACAAGAAAGAACCTGAGACCCTGAGAGACTAGGAGCATCTCTAAGAACATAGACTGGATGGTGATGACATTAATTAAAATGGACAATAAGTGTGTCCGGCCACACATAGATTATCTGAATAGGTTCTACTATATATGTGTGTGTATATATATACATATATATACACACACACACGTGTAATGTATATATGTATTATGTATGTGATATCAAAACATGTCTAATTCTGTTTATAATACTTGTAAGTGAATCTAAAATTATAATAACGATACCCAATTAGTTGAACACTTCAAACTGTTTTTTCTTTTTCTAAATTCTGTTTGAATATAAAATAACAGTTTTCACAAGCTCCTGATTTGCTGCATCTAAATTCTGAAATATGTTTTAGGTATTGCAAATAAATTTGATAATTTACTAATTAGAAAGATACTTTACTGGAAAAAATAAAATATGCATTATTCATTCATACATAAACATGAGAGTCCCTTGCTTCCTCTGTTTCAAAATATTTTACAGTTCCATGAATAGTTCTCTCTAATAATTGTTTCTGAAAAACAAATTATGTTAATAGTCATATAATTTTTGTATAAGGTGTAAGGAAGAGATCCAGTTTCAGCTTTCTACATATGGCTAGCCAGTTTTCCCAGCACCATTTATTAAATAAGGAATCATTTCCCCATTGCTTGTTTTTCTCAGGTCTCAGATCTACAACTAAAGATCAGATAGTTGTAGATACGCGGCATTATTTCTGAGGGCTCTGTTCTGTTCCATTGATCTATATCTCTGTTTTGGTACCAGTACCATGCTGTTTTGCTTACTGTAGCCTTGTAGTATAGTTTGAAGTCAGGTAGCGTGATGCCTCCAGCTTTGTTCTTTTGGCTTAGGATTGACTTGGCGATGAGGGCTCTTTTTTGGTTCCATATGAACTCTAAAGATGGATTAAACACTTAAACATTAGACCTAAAACCATAAAAACCTTAGAAGGAAACCTAGGCATTACCATCAGGACATAGGCATGGGCAAGGACTTCATGTCTAAAACACCAAAAGCAATGGCAACAAAAGCCAAAATTGACAAATGGGATCTAATTAAACTAAAGAGCTTCTGCACAGCAAAAGAAACTACCATCAGAGTGAACAGGCAACCTACAAAATGGGAGAAAATTTTCGCAACCTACTCATCTGACAAAGGGCTAATATCCAGAATCTACAATGAACTCAATCAAATTGACAAGAAAAAAACAAACAACCCCATCAAAAAGTGGGCAAAGGACATGGACAGACACTTCTCAAAAGAAGACATTTATGCAGCCAAAAAACACATGAAAAAATGCTCATCATCACTGGCCATCAGAGAAATGCAAATCAAAACCACAATTTGATACCATCTCACACCAGTTAGAATGGTGATCATTAAAAAGTCAGGAAACAACAGGTGCTGCAGAGGATGTGGAGAAATAGGAACACTTTTACACTGTTGGTGGGACTGTAAACTAGTTCAACCCTTGTGGAAGTCAGTGTGGCGATTCCTCAGGGATCTAGAACTAGAAATACTATTTGACCCAGCCATCCCATTACTGGGTGTATACCCAAAGGACTATAAATCATGCTGCTATAAAAACACATGCACATGTATGTTTATTGCGGCACTATTCACAATAGCAAAGACTTGGAACCAAGCCCAATGTCGAACAATGACAGACTGGATTATGAAAATGTGACACATATACACCATGGAATACTATGCAGCCATAAAAAATGATGAGTTCACATCCTTTGTAGGGACATGGATGAAATTGGAAATCATCATTCTCGGTAAACTATCACAAGGACAAAAAACCAAACACCACATGTTTTCACTCAGAGGTGGGAATTGAACAATGAGAACACATGGACACAGGAAGGGGAACATCACACTCTGGGTACTGTTGTGGGGTGGGGGGAGGGGGGGAGGGATAGCATTAGGAGATACACCTAATGCTAAATGACGAGTTAATGGGTGCAGCACACCAGCATGGCACATGTATACATATGTAACTAACCTGCACATTGTGCACATGTACCCTAAAACTTAAAGTATAATAATAATAAAATGTAAAAAAGTCATATAATTTATATTTAGTAAAATTTTATATAAAACAATATCTTGTAAGCCAAATAGATGAGGAATATTAAGATGAACATTACAAAAATGTATGCTCTTATATGAAGAAGTTAAACTCAGAAATTTTCTGTGTTGAGAAAAAGATCCAAAAAAATTCATCTATTAATTCTAGTGGGAGGCACCTGACAATATTTCTCTTTGCTGAAACATGTGCCAGTACAATATTCAAAGTATTTATCTCCAAGCACAGTGGCTCTGTTTACTGCTCTGAGTTAGGCAGCATTCACATGGCTGTGTTAGCATCTGGGAACTAGAGAAGGCATGAAGATAGATAAAGGGAAAGTCAAGTAGTGGAGCACGAATACACACAAGCTGGAAGCAAAAACAACCATCTAAGCTGCTGAACGGAAATTAAGTAATCCATTTTTAAAATCCTCAATGAACTTGTTTGTTTCTCAAAATCTTTGACTTTTTTAAACAGATGCATACAACAAAAATGTAAATAATGAGAAAATGAAGGTACAACGCATTTGAAAACTGGTTATAATTGGAAGTGAATAAAATGATGTTTGTGTATGTCTGTGCCCTATAGAAATTAATATGTCCTCTCAAAAATCAAACTGCTCTACAAGTTTATAGTAAACACATATTTTTGGGACTAGGATACTTTAAATTGTTTTGAGAGCAGTAGGGAACTGTAATCTTTATTGCCCTGTAGAACACTTTTGCTCATATTAAAATGCTAACAGTTTCTAAGACGGCCTTCACTCAGTAAAAATCAAAGCAGGAAATGTAACTAAATGAATTCTCAATCTACCTTGACATCACACATTACACATTTTAATTGTAAAAGATTTGGATAAAATAATAAAATATAAATAGCTTGAGGCTGTTTTGTATCTGCACTTACTTTCAAAGTTGTATGTAAAAAAAAAATTAAGTACTTGGTAAGTAACCTCATTCTCTTAAACACCATATACAGAAACACTGGCAAATTACAGCAATAATATACTATTATGGCTAGTAGAAATAAAATACTTCATAGAGTACATAGAATTCTAGGTTTATATTCAATATGGTTGTGTGAACAAACGTTCTCTGAAAAGGAATTTGGAAGAAAGACTTTATTCCTGTGAGCAGCTTACAAACTGGTTATATGCAGCCTTTCGTGTATACTAAAGGTTTGTCTCAGAGAAAAAATGAGACTTGTACCCTATCAAGTTCATTTATGCAAATAAATATTCAAATCTGCGAAGTTCTGATTGGTTGGTAGAGCTGAGTCCTGATTGGCCTAGGCAGGCCATTGAAGCCCTGATTGACCATTGGCTCTTACTGGTTTGTTAAAGCAAGAACTGAGAATCCTAAACCGAGGTGTGTGTTCTGAGAATTTGGAGTATGCCTGTGACCTTTAGTCAGGAAATGGCTGCTTGACTGTATTTTAAATTTAGACCCAGTTAGCTACTGACGATCCACCTTGAAGAGTGGAATTTTCAGGTTCATTTGTTCACATTTCCCCACCGTTTATTAAAAAAGGTTATCAGACAGAATTGGTGGTCAAATAAGTTGGCTGCATCCAACATGATATCAGAGTGGGTGACAACATGCTTGGGTTTCATCTCATCTCTCACAGAGATTCCTGTGTCAGGGCAGTGATCAATTCACCAACTAGTAATTTTCCCACCAGAGGCACTAAGGTACCTTTTAAATTCGAAAAGTCTCTTAGGTTAAGGTGCTTCTGGTTTCTGTCTGAAGTAAGTTTAAAGTCTCAAGGTATTGGTTCAGCATGATCCTAACAGGATCCTGATAGGATCATGCTGGTAGGTTTTTTCTGAGGAACATTACGACTTGTAAGACAGAATGCAGAAGGAGTCCTATACCAGGGAAAAACAGCTGAAAATATCTGGAAATTGAAAATTTAGTCCAGTAAGCCCAGCAAGGAGACTTTCTAAAGATGACCATTTCAGAGATTTGGCCCCCTTAGGATCTTAGATGTTTCTAATTAGATCTGGCTAGAAGTATCTACCCAGGTGCAGGAGGAAGTGTTAGTGATGACACACTACCCTGTGCATCCAGGAGATAGTATAATGCAATGAGGTTTTCTTTCTTTCTTTCTTTTTCTTTCTTTTTTTTTTTGGTTTGAGATGGAGTCTCAATCTGTCACCAGGCTGGAGTGTAGTGGCGCGATCTTGGCTCACTGCAACATTCGCCTCCCTGGTTCAAGCAATTCTCCTGCCTCAGCCTCCCAGGTAGCTGGGACTACAGGCACGTGTCACCATGCCCAGCTAATTTTTGTATTTTTTGTAGAGACGGGGTTTCACCATATTGGCCAGGATGGTCTTGATCTCTTGAGCTCCTGATCTGCCCACCTCAGCCTCCCAAAGTGCTGGGATTACAGGTGTGCAATGTGGTTTTCTAGGACCACATAAGTAACCGAATCTTAGGATCTCTCTTGTGTCCTGATGGCTCAGGAAGTAGAATAGGCAAATATGGTAATAGTGTAGGAACGTTTTCTGATTATGTATTAATTCCAAGTAGGACAAAGTCCAAATCAGGATTACAGAAATCTTCCTAATCTATTTCCTTCACTTGGGTTAACCCTGCCATGATAATCACATTGTTGGAAGTGTCCACAACTATCACATTTATAATCTGAGGGGTTATTGTTGATGTTGGATGGTGCCCAAAGACTCTCAGGAAGATTTTGGAAAGAAAAGTAGTTAATGTTGGTGAGGTAATTGAGTAGATGTAAATTTGGGTAAAAGCTACTTCTGTGGTAAAATCTCCTGAGGATAACTCAAGCATTATTTCGTTTTTAGGGGAGAAGAAAATATGGGTTTGGTAGATTTATAAGAATTCCCTTCCAGTAGGTATATGAGAGACTTTAGGACAAATAAAAGGCAGTGTCTTTCAGTAACGGGCCCCAGTTGAAAGGGAATAAATAGTGATTTAGGAACTATCATAGGTTGGTTGGCTACACAGACAATACAGATAAATTCAGAACTCCAGGGAAAAGATATAAAACATTGAATTCCCCTAGTTGGTTAGTTTTAAGTAAGAAAAATGTCCCCTGAATGTGTCCAAAGCATCCCTAGTTTTGCTTAGGGGAAGAGAGCCAGGGGACTCTAGCAGGATGCAGTTATAGCCAAATATTGTGAGAAATTAGAGGAATTTAGGATCTCAGTCAGTCTACAGATAGATAACAAGAACCTGAAAACAATGCACAAGACTACAACCTAACAACAGGTGTACTTTAGTTTCCTCTAGAAACATAACTTTTTCTCTCCACATTGATTATATAGGAATCTCAGAATTTAGAAAAAATGTTGAGTCTAGATAGCTAACCCAAGGCAGGCTTTATTTTTTACCTACAATCTTAAGTTTCTTGGGCCTGCCAGAAAGTGACAATTTCTACTTATTCAATGTAATGCTAGGAACTCTTTCAGCCAGGAATTTTATTCGTATTCTTACATATGACATTTCAGTCAAAACATTGACAATATAACCAATGTATCCAATTTTATCCTGCTTATAAAGAAAGAACAGATTTTTATTGAAATTATTTAAATAGAATAAGAATACTCAAGAATAATTTCTAAATTTTGGAGGAATCAAGTAAGAAGATAAAGCAAATGATTCCATAAAATAATTTAAAATAATAACTGTGAATGACAAACCCAGAAAATCTGATGAAAAATTATAATTATGAAGGAAATTTAGCCACCTCTACTACCTGCAGTATTTTAATGTAACAAAAGTCAGCTGACACATAAGAACCATTAGACTTTTATAAATTTCACATAATGTTTAGAATACTCACATTCATATATCCAAAATTATCACTAATAACCTGAATTCTTATGAAACTGGAACTTTGAAACATATTTTCATATTATACCTACAAATGTAATTGAGAAAGGATCTAGTATCACTTATCAATTAACAATGTTTTCTACACAATTTACCAAATAAGTTTAATTATTTAATATCTCCACAAGATGAAAGATATATTCTTTGATGTTCTCCAGGGGCCTAACTGGAAAATCCCAAAGTTAGTTTTAGGTTAGAAAGACTGTTTGAGATTCTTTTCTTGAGAAAGCCTGCCAAAAAGTGTGAAAACATTCAAAGCACTTGATTAAGAGAATCGCCGGTCACTGTAAAACGATTATTCATTTAACCAAAGTGATAATCAAGAGACTTCAAAAGGAATACAGAAAGTTATGTTTATGTAAGTGCCATGACCCTTTTGAAGCTCAGTTCTCCTAAGTAAGCAAAAACCTAATAAAGGCAACAGGAAGCACAAAAAATTATCTTGGTGAAACAGAATATTTGTTTTCTTGGTCAGTTACTATAAAGGAAAAACAAACAAACAAAACAAAACAAAAAACAAATAAACCTTCTGCTGCGTGATCAGTTCTCTTTACAGAAAGCCCATGTAGATGGCCTTAAAGTTAAAACTCATGAAAAAGATACTTGAATTTTATCAGATACAGAAAGAATATCCTTATAGGATTATGATTAAAGAGGAATGTAAACAAGAAAATAACACCTTTAGCTGATGAGAATACATAGTTTTTATCAATAGCATAATAAATTTCTTGGTACAGGGAATAATTTAGACACATCAAGAAATGTCAGCAGTACAGAATCAAGTTTTACTGGAGGAAACATTGCCTTTCTCGACCTTCAAGATGAACATGTTAGCATTAAGCAATAAAAGCAGAGTTAGAATTGAAGAAAAAGTCACAGCAGCTAATGAAAAGGTTAAATGAGAGGGTTATCACACCAGCCAAGGAAAAATATACATAGGTCTTTTCAAGAATAGAAGGAAGGAGAGCTGCACTTTCAACCTGAAATTAGGAATATTAGATAGAAATCCGGAATAAATATGGCAGAAATAGAAACTGTTTTTACTGTACAGGATGATTGTGAAGACATTAGATTTCAGAATTAAAAATCAAACCTAATTTTACTAAGAGAAAATTAACATTTTAAGAAAAGCTTGATCCAACAGAGGAGACAATTTTTTTTAGTTCTGCATCAGTGCATTTCTCACATCAAAGCTCAATTCATAGACCCGTAAACAGTTTCTTTCCAATTATAGCTAACCTAATCACATAGAAAATTCCTTTTATAAACTTTATTTACATAAACCTTATCATAACTTTCTTAGACCATGTACAACATACTTGAGTTTTTTACTTTTGTATTATAGAAGAGAAATTTACTGTACAAGATTCTTTCTCATACAAAATTATTCTGTTTACAAATTTTCTTACCAAAAATACATCTTACACTTGCATATAGAACTGTCTTTCAATCTCTAGTGATTTTAAGCCCACACAGTAATTACAATGTTAACTATTAGCAACCCTAATTTAATGGAAACCTAGAAAATAAGCAATTTGTAGCAACCAACCCTGTACTAGCAATCTATAAATTCCTATTTTACAATATCCAGAGACCTAGGCTTTCTGTCACACCAAATATTTAGCATGGAACAGGACTTTTTTTTTTAATAACAGATGCAAATAACATTTGTTTCTATGAAATAAGATGCCCAAGGTATATGAGCCTAACTCATATTCAGCAATGAGTGTCTTAGCATTGTATCTTATCTCAAAATGATCTAGTCATTTGATGAATATCCATCCTTTAATTTAGCTTAGCAAAATTCTAAGAGTATAGTTACTAAAAAATGAAAAACCTCCCCAAGTAAACATGTTACAAAACAATCAATATCAAAAATTAATTTATATGCTTTCATCTCATTTATATCCTTTTAATCCATTCATTCTTAATAATTATGCCTGAGAAATTTCATGAGGCATCATCTAAAACTAGCCATCATCTCAAATTAAATTTTCTATTAACCATTTATTTTCATTTTACTGACGTTAGGCAAGAAACTTACATACATGCATGTTTTGTTGATAACCCAGAAGACACAGCCATTCCCATAAAACCAAAATTATACTATTCCCATCATCAAAAATTTAATGATTCGTGTGAACGTGAAAAGCATTTGGGATTATTTGCTTAATTCATGAGTCGTTTCCTTATAAGCCAATTTATTACCATAGACAGTATATGTATGTATATATGCAAATAAGATAGACATACAAACAGACAAAAATGAAAAGCTTATAGCTTTAATTTAAAAGCTTTGACAGTGAGTCAGGTAAAACTCATTAGTTTAGAAGAATAGTTGGATTCAAATTACATCTCTGTAAATGGAACAGGCTGAAATTTATTCCACATGGCTTAATCCCTTACCAAATTTTACAGAAAACAGAGCAGCAAATTTACATCTCAAAGCACAGAAAGAACTGAAGCTTCTTTAAGAAGCTGTTTGCTGGGTTAAAAGAGGATTAAAATGGATACCAAGGTAAAATACAGTTACAGAAATTTATCACAGGATTTTACATGGAAACATACAAAGGATCCTAAAGAAAATTTAGAAACCTTTTCAAGATAACCACCTGAAAGAGTGAAGGAGGAATGGAGGAGTGATGAATAAAAGCAGAGGTAGTGAAAAGGGTGCAAGAAGACAGGCAGGGCAGCAGGCGAGGAGATCTTAGTGGAAGTAGGGTCTTTTAAAGGTGATTTAACAGTTTAATTTTAGTCTCACAAGCACTAACTTAACTTCTCTTTTCCATTTTATTAAGCCATTCACCGAATTTGGAATTGTTTTCTCTAAGGCGGACAATGTTAGCTTCTTGATTCTATTTAGAATTTTTAAAGCATCAATGGAAAAATGGCTTCCAATTGTCTCTGAGGTGTTCACTATTTCTTTGTTTGAATTGTGCAGGCAGATATGTAAGTTTTGGACTATCAAAGGAGCCCCATCTTGGCCAAAAAATGTGCAAGATTATCCTGGGTACATTTTGTTCACAGTCCCAGCCAATTGCCACTCCCTGAATCATAATTTTTACTCATAAAGCCACTTGAATGCCGGAATGTGGCTAATTATGAGGAAAAATATCTTAAAACATGGATTATCCATTGCACTGACCTGGCAAAAGTGTCCATTTCAGTGACATAGGTGTGATCATCCCAACAAAACCTTTTTCTGTGTATTACTATGCATTTACAGATTTTTGTGAATTTGATATGTTACATTAAATTGAGGCCATTTTCTTTTTGTTTCTCAAACTGTCTATGAAGAATGTTTAAAAGTTGACAATGAAACAACAAGAAATTTGATTAAATTGTGGACAAAATACTTGAATAGATATTTCCCCAAATAATGTGTACAAATAACCCTGAAATCATGAAAAAATGTTCCATATCATTAGTTAGTGAAAAATACAACTTAAAACCACAATGAACTATCAGTTGATACCCACCAGGAAGGCTATTGAAAAAATTTATTAAAAAAGAAAATAATGAATATTAATTAGGAGGTGAAGAAATAAAAATGCTTACAGATTGCTGGTAAAAATCTAAAATGATTCATCTGCTGTGAAAAACAGTTTAGAAGTTCCTCAAGAAAGTTAAGTATAGAATTCCAATTACTCTCCTAAATATACATTCAAACTAAGTGAAAACAGGTATTTAAACAATCACATACACATATGTTCATAAGCAGCATTAACCTCAAGAGCCAATAAGTAGAAATAACCCAAATGTCCATAAACAAATAAGTACATTTTGGAGACATTTTGGATAAATTTCAAATATAATGGAATATTAATCAACAAAAAGAGTGAAGTATTGGCACTTCTAAAATGTTGACAAACTTTGAAACACTATGCTAAGTGAAAGAAAGAAGCGAAACACAAAAAGACACACATTTTATGAGTTCATTTATATGAAATATTCAGAATAAATAAATCCAAAGCTAAAGAAAATGTGCTACATATGCACAATGAACTATTATTCAGCCATAAAAAACAAAATCCTGTCATTTTCAACAGCATAGATAAAAGTGAAGTAAGTCAGGCATACAAAGACAAATATCTCATCTTTTCATGAATAAAAACAAAACAAAACAAAACAGAAGAAAAACCTCACGGTGATAGAAAATAGAATGATGGTTACCAGAGGCTAGTAAGGGCAGTGGCTAGGAGGAGATAAAAAGGGGATGGTTGATGGGTACAAAAATGCAGTCAGATTGTAGGAAAAAAATTTAGTGTTCAGTAGTATAATAAGGCAACTATAGTTTACAATCATTTATTGTATATTTTGAAATAACTTACTGGAATTAGAATGTTCCTAACACAAAAAAATGATGAATGCATGTGGTGATGAGTACAATTACCCTGATTTGATTACTACACATTGTATGCTTTTATGAAAATATCACATGGACCCCATAAATATGTATAAATATTATGAATCAATATTTAAAAGTATATAATAAATAAAAAATAAAAACACATCTTATTTTAAAAATTAGCACTCATAAAAACAATGTAAAATGTAAAATATTCATAATTATGTTAATTGCATGTTGAATATTTTGGATATATTAGATTAAGTCAAATATATTATCCAAAATTTTAAATGAATAAACTAACTGTATTAATTCATTCTTATATTGCTACAAAGGTATGACCCGAGACTGGTAATTTATAAAAAAAGAGGTTTAAGCAACTCAGATTCCGCATGGCTAGGGAGGCCTCAGGAAACTTACCATCACGGCGGAATGCAAAGAGAAAGCAAGGTACATCTTAGGCAGCAGCGAGAGAGAGAGTGCAAGGGAAACTGTCACTTTTAAACATCAGATTTCGTGAGAACTTCCTCACTATCCCAAGAACAGCATGGGAGAAGCCTCCCCCATGATCCAATCATCTCCCACCAGGACCCTTTCTGTACACATGGGGATTACAGTTTGAGATGAGATTTGGATGGGGGCACAGAGCCAAATCATATCATTAAATCAATCAATCAGTGAATCCATAGATGCTTAATGCAAATTGTTTTTTACCACTGAGGAAAGAGGTGAATGGGGAGAAACTAATAGGAAAGAGATTTTTCTTTGTTTTTTTTTAATCTTTTATTTATTTTTATTTAATTATTTTCAATAATTGTAAATAATAATTATTATTTTTTGTGCCCATTAACATTCACTGTTTATCTCCCTCTCACCAGTAGCCTTCCCAGCCTCTGATAACCATTACTCTTCTCTCCATCTCCATGAGTTCAATATTTTTTTGAGCCTTTACATATTAGTGAGAACATGTGTTATATGTCTTTCTGTGCATGTTTTATTTCACTTAACCATAATGTCCTCTGGTTTAATTTATGTTGTCACCAATAATAAAATTTTATTTTTTCATGGCTTAATAATATTATTTTGTATATTATGCATATATATATCACATTATCTTTTACTTTTTTAAAATTTTACTTTAAGTTCTGGATTAAATGTGCAGAATGTGCAGGTTTGTTGCATAGGTATACATGTGCCATGGTGGTTTGCTGTACCTATCAACCCATCATCTAGGTTTTAGCATCCACGTGCATTAGGCATTTGTCCTAATGCTCTCCCTCCCCTTGGCCCTCACCTCCTGACAGGCTTTAGTGTGTATTGTTCCCCTCCCTGTGTCCATGTGTTCTCATTGTTCAACCCCCACTTATGAGTGAGAACATGAAGTGTTTGTTTTTCTGTTCTTGTGTTAGTTTACTGAAAATGATGGCTTCTAGCTTCATCCATGTGCTTGCAAAGGACATGACCTTATTCTTTTTTATGGCTTCATAGTATTCCATTATGTATATGTGCCACATTTTCTTTATCCAGTCTATCATTGATGGGCATTTTGGTTGGTTCCAAGTCTTTGCTATTGTAAATAGTGCTGTAATAAACATATATGTGCATGTGTCTTTACAGTAGAATGATTTATATTCCTTTGGATATATACCCAATAATGGGATTGCTAGGTCAAATGGTATTTCTGGTTCTAGATCCTTGAGGAATTGCCACATGGTCTTCCACAATGATTGAACTAATTTAATCCCTACCAACAGTGTAAGTGTTCCTATTTCTCCACAGCCTCGCTAGTATCTATTGTTTCCTGACTTTTTAATAATCGCCATTCTGACTGGCATGAGATAGTATCTCATTGTGGTTTTAATTTGCATTTTTCTAATGATCAGTGATGATGAGCTTTTTTTCATATGTTTTTTGGCCACATCAGTGTCTTCCTTTGAGACGTGTCTGTTCATATCCTTTGCCGACATTTTGATGGAGTTGTTTTATTCTTATAAATTTGTTTAAGTTCCCTTTATATTCTGGATATTAGACCTTTGTCAGATGGGTAGACTGCAAAATTTTTCTCCCATTCTATAGATTGTCTGTTTACTCTGATGCTAGTTTCTTTTGCTGTGAAGAAGCTCTTTAGTTTAGATTCCATCCTTTGATAAATTTCAACATCCCCTCATGTTAAAACCTCTCAGTAAACTAGGTAATGATGGAACATACCTCAAAATAATAAGAGCTATTTATGACAAACCCATAGCTAATATCATACTGAATGGCCAAAAGCTGGAACTATTCCCTTTGAAAACCGGCACAAGACAAGGATGCCTACTCTCACCACTCCTATTCAACATAGTATCAGAAGTCCTGGCCAGGATGTTCAGGCAAGAGAAAGAAATAAAGCGTATTCAAATAGGAAGAATGGAAATTAAATTGTCTGTTTGCAGATGACATGATTGTCTATTTAGAAAACCTCATCGTCTTAGCACAAAAACTCCTAAGCTGATAAGCAGCTTCAGCAAAGTCTCAGGATACAAAATCAATGTGCAAAAATCACAGGCATTCCTATTCATCAACATTAGACAAGTAGAGAGCCAAATTATAAATGAACTCCCATTCACAACTGCTACAAAGAGAATAAAATACCTAGAAATACAACTTACAAGGGACGTGAAGGACTTCTTCAAGAACTACAAATCATTGCTTTGTAGAGAGGACACAAACAAATGGAAAAACATTCCATGCTCATGGATAGGAAGAAACAAAGTTATGAAAATGCTATACTGCCCAAAGTAATTTATAGATTCAATGCTATTCCCATAAAGCTACCATTGACTTTCTTCACAAAATTAGGGAAAAAAAAAACTACTTTAAATTTCATGTGGAACCAAGAAAGAGCCTGTATAGCCAAGACAATCCTAATCAAAAAAACAAAATTGGAGGCATGCTACCTGACTTCAAACTATGCTACAAGGCTGTAGTAACCCAAACAGCACGGTACTGGCACCAAAACAGATATACAGTCCAATGGAACTGAACAGAGACCTCAGAAATAACACCACACATCTACAATCATCTGATTTTTGACAAACCTGACAAAAACATCCAATGGGGAAAGGATTCCCTGTTTAATAAATAGTGCTGGGAAACTGGCTAGCCACATGCAGAAAGCTGAAACTGGACCCCTTCCTTACACGTTATACAAAAATTAAATCAGGATGGATTAAAGACTTAACTTATAAAACTCAAAACCATAAGAACACTAGAAGAAAACCTAGGCAATACCATTCAGTACATAGGCATGGCCAAACACTTCATGACTAAAACACCAAAAGCAATATATACTACATTTTCTTTATCCATATCTATTGATGGACACAGGTTGATTCCATATATTGGCTAGTGTGAATAGTGTTGCAATAAACATAGGAGTTCAGATAGCTCTTTTATGTATCTATTTCCTTTTTAATTACATTTTATGTTATTTTATATTTTTTGGTTTTTGGATAAATACACAGGAGTGGGAGTGCTGGATCATATGGTAGTTCTATGTTTAGTTTTTTGAGGCACCTCCGTACTGTTTTCCATAGTGACTTCTCTAATTTTTATTCCCATTAACACTGTGCAAGTGTTCTCCCTCCACACCCTTAGAAGCATTCATAATTGCTTGTCTTTTGGATAAAAGCCACTTTAACTAGGTAAGATGATATGGTCATTTTGAATTGCACTTTTCAGATGATTAGTGATTTAAACACTTTTTCATATGCCTTTTGGTTATTTATAAGAATTCTTTTGAGAAATGTCTACTCAGATCTTTTGCTCATTTTTAATTGAATTGCTATTATTATTTCTATTGAGTAATTTTAGCTCCTTATATATTCTAGTTATTAATCTTTTGTCAGATGGGTTGTTTGCAATATTTTTCTAATTCTGTAGGTTGTCTCTTCACTTTATTGTCTCCTTTGCTGTTTAGAAGCTTTTTAGCTTGATGTGATCCAATTTGTGTACTTCAGCTTTGGTTGCCTGTGCCTTTGCGGTCTTACTCAGGAAATCTTTGCTCAGACCAATGTCCTGGAGTGTTTGTCAGTGTTTCCTTCTAGTAGTTTCAGAATTTCAGTTCTTAGAATTTAAGTCTTTAATGTATTTTGTTTTAATGTTTGTATATTGTGAGAGATAAGGGTCTAGTTTCACTCTTCTGCATGTAGATATCCAGTTTTCTCAGCACCATTTATTAAAGAGATTGTCCTATCAAATAGTTTTACTTTGAAGTGATGGAAATGTTTTGGCAATTAGTAGAGGTGGTGGTACCATAATATTGTGGATATAATAAGTGGCACTGCATTTTTACTTCAAAATAGTTAATTTTGTATTATGTTTTATAGCAATAAATTATATTTTTTAAAAAAGAATTGTCTGAAAATTTTAAAGATCCTCTCTCTTTGTGAAAACATGTAAGCATAGTGGTTTTTTGTTGTTGTTGGGAGTGTTTCTGAATTTTCTCTATATGTTTTTATTTCCCTTTTTTTCTTATTGAGGTTTGCATATATTTATCAGCTTTGAATGTTACTGTTGCAAGTTTTTTTATTATTGTTTATATAAGACATCTTTTTAAATTTCTTTATGTTAATCCTACCTATATCACTACATTTAAAATAAATTTCTAGAAGACATAATATTTTAGGGAAATGTCTTCTGGTTTTTTTTTTTTTTTTTTATCTGTTCTGACAACCTTGATTGTTGTTTGTATCTGTTCTGACAATCTTTATCTTTTCATTAGTTTATGTCACATGCATTTAGTATATTTATTAATATATTTGTTTTTAGGTTTATCTTTTATTATTTCTGTGTTTTTAAACTCTATTTTTGGTTTCTCTGTTTACTCTTTTCTGTTTCTTTTGGCTACTTGACATATTTTAATATTTCATTTTAATTTATCCATTTATTGATTAAATATCTTCATATAATTTTATTGCTCACTTTAGACATTACAATATACAGAACCTCCTCAATTAATGTTCTCAACAGGTTCTTGGAAACTGCAATTTTAAGCAAAACAACATATAACAAAACCAGGTTCACTATAGGCTAATTGATATAAGCCAGAGATAAGTTCCTATAGCATATTTCTGGTTACAAAAACATCACCAAACTTCTAAATAAGCATTTTGATGTTAAATATTGAAATAATTTGAGCTATATTTACATTTAAGAAAGATTAATAAAAGCAAGTAAAATTGCTTACTCAATTTTTGGTGAATCATTGAATGACAGAAGTTGTAGTGATGGTGGGTTAAATCAAAGAATAAATGTCTGTAAATTGAAAATTGTAAAAAACACTTTCTACTACCATCCAGTTCAGAAACAAACAATATAATCAATATGATGGGCTTTCTGGGAGTTTTACCATATCACATATTGTTGTGCATGCATATGATTATCATATACTTTACAGATTTTTATTATACACTAATTTGTAGTCATTCACTCATTCATTCATTTGCCAACCCATCTATTCCAGTTCGGGGTCATGAGTGACTCGAGCCTGTCCCAACAGCTCAGGGCATAAGTCAGGAATCAACTCTGGACATGACACCATTCTATCACAGGGTACTTTCTCTGCACACAAACACACGCACACACACATACACATGTGCACACACACACACTGACTGGGGTAATTTAGACACATAGATTAACCTAATGTTCACATCTTTGGGATGTAGGAGGAAACCAGAGTACTCAAAGGAAATCCTCACAGACATGGGAGAAAGTGCAAACTTTACCTAGGCAGTGGCTCCATCTGGGAGTAGATTTTGTTTTCCTCATCAACATTATAAGGAAATCAAGTTGAATGAAAAGATGTTATTTAAAGGCCTGCTGTAAACAACTTCACACAGTCTACTTAGAGTATTTTACCAGTTAAAGTAGAATTTAGAAACCATATCGCCGTATAGATCCCTTTACTCTCTCACTTTTATGTTATAGTTGTCTCATATATGATGGTTACACACATTTTTAAAAAAACCTACATCAGACAATGTTAAAAGTTTTTATTATGACTGCCAAATATATTTTTCCAAACACTGAGTTAGATTAAATTTTTCAACTGTTACTGAAACACTTTTCCTCTCCTCAGAATCCATTAGTAAGAATGTTAATTTTTGTCGTTATAGTTCCAGATATTTTGTTATATTCTTTGCTTTTTTATTTTTTAAAAATCTGTTGTTCAGATTAGATAATTTCTGTTGTTCTGCCTTCAGAATTCCCTGTCATATCTAAAGTGCTATTGAACTCATCCTGTGTGATTTTTAAAACCATGTTATTTTGTTTGCTTTAAAATATATTCTATTTCTTTTCTATGCCTGTTCTTTCATTTCTTTTAAGAGTATTCACAACTGCTTATTTAAACATTTCTATAAGAGCAGCTTTATAATCTTTTCCAGGTAATTCCAATATCTGTTTTATTTGGGAATTTTTATTTATTGATTGCCTTGGCCCATCTAAGTTGCAATTTCTCTGGTTCTTCATATGCTGAATAATTTTGGATTATATGCTGGACATTTTGGATATTTTGTTATGAGACATCTGAGCATGTTTAAATCTCATGGAAAATGTTAATATTTTTTTCTTTTAGGGTGGAATTGACCTGGTTAGTTCAGACTACAAATTTCAACCAAATTTTTACAGTGGTTTCAATGTCAGTTCCGTTTTCAAAGACTTTGTTGTCCTGTTTACATATTTCTTTTGTGTGCGCTACGCAGTGATTCCAAAATCTAATGGTAGCCTCTGTTAGTTAAGTTTTCAGGCTTTAGGCATGATCGTTAGGATCAGATTTGAGAATACATAGCTTGGGGAAGATCCCTAACTATTTATAAATAAATTTATGGGGTTATGCTCTGAACACCATGCTGCATGTGGTTTCCAGTTAGCTTGGCTCCCCTTTTTGTTACACTACCTTGAATGGTGGGACTTTAATTATTCTATCCTGCTGCATATTTCCTTAATGTCTCCCTGCATTTAGTACTAAGCTTTGAATACAGAGAGAGAAAAACACAAATTCAAAGGATCTGCCCTATCCTCATGTTATCAGCACCATCTGTCAGAGAAAGAGGTTTTCTTTCTCAAGGTTTGGCTCCTGGAAACTCTTATTGCATTGAAGTCTTTGACAACATTGCCATAATATTGTTTGGTGGCTGGGGTGTGAGAGATCAGAGAGAAGAAAAACACAGGGTAGATACATTTTTGTGTTTTTCCCCTATTCTACTAGTGAGCCAGAACTAGCAGACTTCTCCTGGGACTTTTGTTATTCCTGTTTATGCTTACTTCAAAATTTCAGATTGTTTTGCATTTTGGCTAGGAAATATAACTGTTGGTTCGCTAGCATTTAGAATTCTGGTTTTCTTCTTGAAACTGCCTGATATTTCTTACTTTTCAGAGTCCTCAAATAGCTGATCTATGCATTCTGTCCAGGTTTTTTAGTTAGCTTCAATGGAAAAGACATGGTGGGGTGTGCTTATTTTATCTTACTCTTACATGAACAAGCACAAATAATTTAGGTCTCCAGTTTTTTTCCTATTAATAGTGATTGTTATGTTCTAACTGTTACATTGTGCCGAAGTCCATGATAGATGCATTTTATTGGCCATATATTCCTCTAATTAGTAACCAGTGCACAAAGGTATTTCTAGGTTTCTAAGAATCTGTGAGATTCTTAATCATCCCATGGCTATCATTAAACCATCTGTCAGGTTACTTATATACTGATGTGTTTTCCCAGTTTTCTGTTAAATTAGGGGTGAATAGATGTTTTTTTTCCTGTAAATTATTCGATGGCTCACAAACATTGTCATATTTCTATGTCTATCAAGTGTGTTTGAGTTTCCTAATTCATAATTGAATACCACATTATCAAGGCAGAGTGTATCATATCGTAATTTCTTTTGTAGGACTGGTTACACTATCTATTATTTTTCCAGTCAGTTTTGGTAATTTTTTTATTTTCTAGAGAATTGTCAGTTTCATGCAAGTTTTCAAGTTCAATTACATGCATTAAGAAAAATATCTGATTAGCTTTTAAAGCTGAATTCACAATGATTGGAGTCACCTATTCTTATATTGTACAAATTAAGCACCAGATAATGTTCTACATATTTCACAATTAATAACACATTTAATTCTCATGTGTCAGAATACCAACCTTTAAGTAGATACTGTTAATATAATTGTCTTGATTTTAGGGTTGAAGAGCCAGGCAGGCTAAAATTTCTAGTCTTTTGTCTTAATGTTTTTACTTAGCTTCAATCATTACAGGGTTTTTTTTTTTTCTTCAGAAGCTTATTATTCTTCATATAAGATTATGATTTTCATGTTAGTTTTCTCCACTTGCTTCCCATGATATTTACCCTCATCTCTGCTCAGTTTTGTGAAATATTCGACTTGATCTCATTTCTCAGGACTAGCAACCTATAAAATGTTGTAAATTATTATCTTTTTAATTTGAACATTGAGTTTTAGTGTTAGAATGTATTTCTTTTATCTTTCAGTAACAATGCCTTGAAGGTTTTCCTTATTTTAAATTAATATTTTTATCAGCCTCAAGCACTACTTCCGTGGTCCGTCAGCATGCTGCTTGATTTTTCATATGATTAATTTGTTTTAAGTATGTTATGACTTAATTCTTTTTGTTTTCATAGTTCTGGATCAGTGAATTGATTTCCTAAGACAAGGGTAAATAAGCAAATAGGACAGGTATCTGTTTTGGGAGTACAACATTTCACAGGCTGGGAAATGGTTGCCTCTGAGCTGACATGCATTAGAAAAAGCTGCTTGTTAACGACCCTCTCTGGATGTAAGAGGTTACCTACTTCCCTTCTCACGGACTGAGTGATTCAGTTTATCATTTCCCTTGACTTTCAATCACAGCAAGATTGGGTGTTGTTTCCCCAACACATAAAAGTGAACAGTACAGACGGATCTCCTTCATTTGTTATGAAACACATAGATGTCTTTACAGGATTAAATGAGAGGTAAACATTTTGGTTGTTGGCCTTGTAGTTCTTTCATTGGGACATAGAGAATGAGGGCCATCCCTTAGCATTTACCAGAATGAAAGAGGCCCTAGGCATATTATTGAAGCTAAACAAGCATGCTTATATTTGTGGTTTGTTCTTTCAGAGAGGGAGACACCTTTTGGTAGAGAATCAGGGATATGTGTTCAGGCTGCATCTTCCTAGAATCTACTATATTCACACTACTTTTTCAAAGCATGTTTTTGGTCTTTTTGCTACACACTTCATATAATAAAGTACTGGAAGTAGCTTATTAGACTATCCATCACATTGTTTACATTTTGAAATGGAAAATACGTTCAATTTTATTAAAAAATGCTTATGCTGTGAAAATTTCATCCACTAAGAAACTATTCATTAGTTTTCTCTTCAGCATAAAATGTAAAGCTAAATTAAAAACACTTTAAAGCAAAATTAGGTTTTATAACATTATATAGCAAATTTAAATGTTGCTAAATGATAACTGAGGATGATAGCAGTTTTCAAGATAGTAAGTATATCATTCAGAGTTCAATCATAGAAACAGAATCACCAGGAATGATAGACAGTATAAAATTTATACAAAATATTTGAACTTATACCATGTCACTAACATCTACAATTACGTGTGTATTTTATTGCTTCCGCTTTTGATGCTGGGCCTGAAGAGCAGGGAGTGTGGCAGGAAGGAAAGATGAATGTGAAGCAGTGGACAGTAGGGATAAATTGGAACCCATGAATACCAACTGTAATCTGCACTAGTCTCTGAAACTCTCCAGCTTTGAAGAGGAAGTTGACATGCTGGAGAAAGTGGTGTGGGTAGTTGCAGAAAATTGAAAGAAAAGATTGTGTAAGAGCTGAAGAAGCTGTGTATTTGGCTGCATTATCAGACCAACAAGATGAGCCAGCAAACCTCACAATATGCATGAGTTGCAACATCACCTGGTTTTGTACTGCCCTTTTGAACTTAAAAAAAAAAAACAAAAAAAAAAACAAAAAAAAACCTGGATGCTTGTTCTTTTTTTGTCTTCCAAATTCTGCATAAAATGTCTCCTATGGTCCATGACAATCCATAAATATGAAATAAAACACATCAGTGTCATCCTAGATCAATTGACCCAGTACAGATCCACAATAATGAGCCAGAGAACATATACTGGTCTGTGGAATTTCAGAGAGGAGTTAATGTGAAAGCCTATATTTGCTCTGAAAAGAACCAAAAAACATGCAATCCTGAGGAATAACTATACTAATGTATAGTATTATATACTAATTATATTATATTCTTTAAACAAATAAAAAACAAAGAATTTAAATAAAATATAATTTTATTCTTTAAAGAATATAACATATTCTTTAAAGATATATGTATTAAAATATAATAAAGAATATTCTTTAAAACTATATTCTTTAAAAATATGCTATTACATCAACACATTATATTTCAGGAAAAAATGCATACAACTGAGTAGATTTCTAAACAGTATTAGAATTGGAGCACTCTAGATCCACTTTGAGTTTTTTTTCCACTGGATAATTCCTTCCATTCTTACATGATAATTTCTGTACATCACCTATAAACCATAAAATTGTTAAAATTTTGTTTGTAGAAGTAATCATGAACTTTCTAGAGGCATCACAAAATGCTTATTTGTACAAAGAAAAGTGACCTAGGTCTGTAATAGAAAATAGTTATACAAAGTTTGATAAAAATGACATACCTAATGTGGTGTGGGAGCACTTTGTGAAACCCAAATGTAAAAAATCAAATCCAAAGTTTATCTTGCATTTTTCACACCCATTTAATGCCCATTAAGGATCATGAAAGATAAAGTTAAATTGATTCAGCACTAAAATTCTATGATGCTTTTCAAACTAATGTAATGATAATGTAGTGTTCAGATTTTGAGTCATTAACACTGAGAGTGAAAGTAAAAGTTACATATTTTCTTCCTTGAAATATTAAAATGCTAGATCATTTCACTAAACACTATTGTATTTGAGTAATAGAGAAATCAATCCAAACTAGAATTTTATTGGCTTAGTAACATTTTCATTTGCAAAGTACCATTTCATTAAAGATGTAAGGTTTTAACCTACATAATACACTATTCTAAATAGTTCCAAGTATAAACAAAACTTGTGTTTATTTCTTTGTTTCTTTGTTTTTAGCAGTAAGAAAGATTTAGTCAATCATCGTTTTTCTATAAATTTCTGTGTATTTTTTAGGGTCTCTCATTCTTCTGGCTTTAATCACTAAATCATGGGTCAGAAAACTAGAACTTTAGGGCAAAAGCCATCCCACATTTTTAAAGGTTGTAAAAACCACAGACAATAAAATAGGCAAACCATCAAAAAAAGAATATGCAACAAAGACCATATGTGACTGAAAAAGCTTAAAATATTTATTATTTGGCCACTCACGGAAAGTTTACCACTCCCAGGACTAGATAGTAAGTTCTAGAGCACATTGTGATTTATGTGCTCTTTACCTTAATATACTTAGCTTAAGACATGTTTTATACATAATGAATATTTATTAAATATTGGTTGAATTAAGAAAAGATTACAGAGGTTGAGCCAAGATGGCCAAACAGGAACAGCTCCAGTCTACAGCTCCCAGCATGAGCGCTGCGGAAGACGGGTGATTTCTGCATTTCCATCTGAGGTACCAGGTTCATCTCACTAGGGAGTGTGAGACAGTGGGCGCAGGACAGTGGGTGCACTGCACCATGCATGAGCCAAAGCAGGGCGAGGCATTGCCTCACTCCAGAAGTGCAAGGGGTCAGGGATTTCCCTTTCCTAGTCAAAGAAAGGGGTGACAGATGGGACCTGGAAAATCGGGTCACTCCCACCCCAATACTGTGCTTTTCTGACGGGCTTAAAAACGGCACACCAGGAGATTATACCCCCCAACTGGCTCGGAGGGTCCTACGCCCACAGAGTCTCGCTGATTGCTAGCACAGCAATCTGAGATCAAACTGCAAGGCAGCAGTGAGGCTGGGGGAGGGGCGCCCACCATTGCCCAGGCTTGCTTAGGTAAACAAAGCAGCCAGGAAGCTCGAAATGGGTGGAGCCCACCACAGCTCAAGGAGGCCTGCCTGCCTCTGTAGGCTCCACCTCTGGGGGCAGGGCACAGACAAACAAAAATACAGCAGTAACCTCTGCAGACTTAAATGTCCCTGTCTGACAGCTTTGAAGAGAGCAGTGGATCTCCCAGCACGCAGCTGGAGATCTGAGAACGGGCAGACTGCCTCCTCAAGTGGGTCCCTGACCCCTGACCCCCGAGCAGCCTAACTGGGAGGCACCCCCCAGTAGGGGCAGACTGACAACTCACATGGCCGGGTACTCCTCTGAGACAAAACTTCCAGAGGAACAATCAGACAGTAGCATTCGCGGTTAATGAAAATCTGCTGTTCTACAGCCACCGCTGCTGTTACCCAGGCAAACAGTGTCTGGAGTGGACCTCTAGCAAACTCCAACAGGCCTGCAGCTGAGGGTCCTCTCTGTTAGAAGGAAAACTAACAAACAGAAACGACATCCACACCAAAAACCCATCTGTACATCACCATCATCAAAGACCAAAAGTTGATAAAACCACAAAGATGGGGAAAAAACAGAGCAGAAAAACTGGAAACTCTACAAAGCAGAGTGCCTCTCCTCTTCCAAAGGAACGCAGTTCCTCACCAGCAATGGAACAAAGCTGGACGGAGAATGACTTTGACGAGTTGAGAGAAGAAGGCTTCAGACAATCAAACTACTACAAGCTACAGGAGGAAATTCAAACCAAAGGCAAAGAAGTTAAAAACTTTGAAAAAAATTTAGGCAAATGTATAATTAGAATAACCAATACAGAGAAGTGCTTAAAGGAGCTGATGGAGCTGAAAACCAAGGCTCGAGAACTACGTGAAGAATGAAGAAGCCTCAGGAGCCGATGTGATCAACTGGAAGAAAGGGTATCAGTGATGGAAGATGAAATGAATGAAATGAAGCGATAAGGAAAGTTTAGAGAAAAAAGATAAAAAGAAACGAACAAAGCCTCCAAGAAATATGGGACTATGTGAAAAGACCAAATCTACGTCTGATTGGTGTACCTGAAAATGATGGGGAGAATGGAACCAAGTTGGAAAACACTCTGCAGTATATTATCCAGGAGAACTTCCCCAATCTAGCAAGGTAAGCAAACATTCAGATTCAGGAAATACAGAGAATGCCACAAAGATACTCCTCGAGAAGAGTAACTCCAAGACACATAATTGTCAGATTCACCAAAGTTGAAATGAAGGAAAAAATGTTAAGGGCTGCCAGAGAGAAAGGTCGGGTTACCCACAAAGGGAAGCCCATCAGACTAACAGTGGATCTCTCAGCAGAAACTCTACAAGCCAGAAGAGAGTGGGGGCCAATATTCAACATTCTTAAAGAAAAGAATTTTCAACCCAGAATTTCATATCCAGCCAAACTAAGCTTCATAAGTGAAGGAGAAATAAAATACTTTACAGACAAGCAAATGCTGAGAGATTTTTGTCACCACCAGGCCTGCCCTAAAAGAGCTCCTGAAGGAAGCACTAAACATGGAAAGGAACAACCAGTACCAGCCACTGCAAAATCATGCCAAATTGTAAAGACCGTCAAGGCTAGGAAGAAACTGCGTCAACTAACGAGCAAAATAACCAGCTAACATCATAATGGAGACAGGATCAAATTCACACATAACAATATTAACTTTAAATGTAAATGGACTAAATGCTCCAATTAAAAGACACAGACTGGCAAATTGGATAAAGAGTCAAGACCCATCAGTGTGCTGTATTCAGGAAACCCACCTCACATGCAGAGACACACATAGGCTCAAAATAAAAGGATGGAGGAAGATCTACCAAGCAAATGGAAAACAAAAAAAGGCAGGAGTTGCAATCCTAGTCTCTGATAAAACAGACTTGAAACCAACAAAGATCAAAAGAGACAAAGAAGGCCGTTACATAATGGTAAAGGGATCAATTCAACAAGAAGAGCACACTATCCTAAATATATATGCACCCAATACAGGAGTTCCCAGATTCATAAAGCAAGTCCTGAGTGACCTACAAAGAGACTTAGACTCCCACACAATAATAATGGGAGACTTTAACACCCCACTGTCAACACTAGACAGTTCAACGAGACAGAAAGTTAACAAGGATACCCAGGAATTGAACTCAGCTCTGCACCAAGTGGACCTAATAGATATCTACAGAACTCTACATCCCAAATTAACAGAATATACATTCTTTTCAGCACCACACTACACCTATTCCAAAATTGACCACATAGTTGGAAGTAAAGCTCTCAGCAAATGGAAAAGAACAGAAATTATAACGAACTGTCTCTCAGACCACAGTGCAAACAAACTAGAACTCAGGATTAAGAAACTCACTCAAAACTGCTCAACTAAATGGAAACTGAGCAACCTGCTCCTGAATGAATACTGGGTACATAACGAAATGAAGGCAGAAATAAAGATGTTCTTTGAAACCGATGAGAACAAAGACATAACATACCAGAATCTCTGGGATTCATTCAAAGCAGTGTGTAGAGGGAAATTTATAGCACTAAATGCCCACAAGAGAAATCAGGAAAGATCCAAAATTGGCACCCTAACATCACAATTAAAAGAACTAGAAAAGCAAGAGCAAACACATTCAAAAGCTAGCAGAAGGCAATAAATAACTAAAATCAGAGCAGAACTGAAAGAAACAGAGACTCAAAAAACCCTTCAAAAAATTAATGAATCCAGGAGCTGGTTTTTTGAAAGGATCAACAAAATTGATAGACTGCTAGCAAGACTAATAAAGAAAAAAAGAGAGAAGAATCAAATAGATGCAATGAAAAATGATAAAGGGGATATCACCACCAATCCTGCAGAAATACAAACTACCATCAGATAATACTACAAACACCTTTACCCAAATAAACTAGAAAATCTAGAAGAAATGGATACATTCCTCGACACATACACCCTCCCAAGACTAAACCACAAAGAAGTTGAATCTCTGAATAGACCAATAACAGGCTCTGAAATAGTGGCAATAATCAATAGCTTACCAACCAAAAAGAGTCCAGGACCAGATGGATTCACAGCTGAATTCTACCAGAGGTACAAGGAGGAACTGGTATCATTCCTTCTGAAACTATTCCAATCAATAGAAAAAGAGGGAATTCTCCCTAACTCATTTTATGAGGCCAGCATCATCCTGATACCAAAGCCGGGCAGAGACATAACCAAAAAAGAGAATTTTAGACCAATATCCTTGATGAACATTGATGCAAAAATCCTCAATAAAATACTGGCGAACTGAATCTGGCAGCACATCAAAAAGCTTATCCACCATGATCAAGTAGGCTTCATCCTTGGGATGCAAGGCTGGTTCAATATATGCAAATCAATAAATGTAATCCAGCCTCTAAACAGAACCAAAGACAAAAACCACATGATTATCTCAATAGATGCAGAAAAGGCCTTTGACAAAATTCAACAACCCTTATGCTAAAAACTCTCAATAAATTAGGTATTGATGGGATGTATCTCAAAATAATAAGAGCTATCTATGACAAACCCACAGCCAATATCGTACTGAATGGGCAAAAACTGCAAGCATTCCCTTTGAAAACTGGTGCAAGACACGGATGCCCTCTCTCACCACTCCTATTCAACATAGTGTTGGAAGTTCTGGCCAGGGCAATTAGGCAGGAGAAGGAAATCAAGGGTATTCAATTAGGAAAAGAGGAAGTCAAATTGTCCCTGTTTGCAAATGACATGTTTGTATATCTAGAAAACCCCATTGTCTCAGCCCAAAATCTCCTTAAGCTGATAAGCAACTTCAGCAAAGTCGCAGGATACAAAATCAATGTACAAAAATCACAAGCATTCTTATACACCAATAAGACAAACAGAGAGCCAAATCATGAGTGAAGTCCCATTCACAATTGCTTCAAAGAGAATAAAATACCTAGGAATCCAACTTACAAGGGATGTGAAGGACCTCTTCAAGGAGAACTACAAACCACTGCTCAAGGAAATAAAAGAGGATACAAACAAATGGAAGAACATTCCATGCTCATGGGTAGGAAGAATCAATATCGTGAAAATGGCCATACTGCCCAAGGTAATTTATAGATTCAATGCCATCCTCATCAAGCTACCAATGACTTTCTTCACAGAACTGGAAAAAACCACTTTAAAGTTCATATGGAACCAAAAAAGAGCCCGCATCACCAAGTCAAACCTAAGCCAAAAGAACAAAGCTGGAGGCATCACGCTACCTGACTTCAAACTATACTACAAGGCTACAGTAACCAAAACAGCATGGCACTTGTACCAAAACAGAGATATAGATCAATGGAACAGAACAGAGCCCTCAGAAATAACGCCGCATATCTATAAATATCTGATCTTTGACAAACCTGACAAAAACAAGCAATGGGGAAAGGATTCCCTATTTAATAAATGGTGCTGGGAAAACTGGCTAGCCATATGTAGAAAGCTGAAACTGGATTCCTTCCTTACACCTTATACAAAAATTAATTCAAGATCGATTAAAGACTTAAATGTTAGACATAAAACCATAAAAACCCTAGAAGAAAACCCACGCAATACCATTCAGGACACTAGGCATGGGCAAGGACTTCATGCCTAAAACACCAAAAGCAATGGCAACAAAAGCCAAAATTGACAAATGGGATCTAATTAAACTAAAGAGCTTCTGCACAGCAAAAGAAACTACCATCAGAGTGAACAGGCAACCTACAAAATGGGAGAAAATTTTCGCAACCTACTCATCTGACAAAGGGCTAATATCCAGAATCTACAATGAACTCAAACAAATTTACAAGAAAAAAACAAACAACCCCATCAAAAAGTGGGAGAAGGACATGGACAGACACTTCTCAAAAGAAGACATTTATGCAGCTAAAAAACACATGAAAAAATGCTCACCATCACTGGCCATCAGAGAAATGCAAATCAAAACCACAATTTGATACCATCTCACACCAGTTAGAATGGCGATCATTAAAAAGTCAGGAAACAACAGGTGCTGGAGAGGATGTGGAGAAATAGGAACACTTTTACACTGTTGGTGGGACTGTAAACTAGTTCAACCCTTGTGGAAGTCAGTGTGGCGATTCCTCAGGGATCTAGAACTAGAAATACCATTTGACCCAGCCATCCCATTACTGGGTATATACCCAAAGGACTATAAATCATGCTGCTATAAAGACACATGCACACGTATGCTTATTGCGGCCCTATTCACAATAGCAAAGACTTGGAACCAACCCAAATGTCCAACAATGATAGACTGGATTAAGAAAATGTGGTATATATACGCCATGGAATACTATGCAGCCATAAAAAATGGTGAGTTCACATCCTTTGTAGGGACATGGATGAAATTGGAAATCATCATTCTCCGTAAACTATCATAAGAAGAAAACATCAAACACCACATATTCTCACTCATAAGTGGGAATTGAACAATGAGAACACATGGACACAGGAAGGGGAACATCACACTCTGGGGACTGTTGTGGGGTGGGCGGAAGGGGGAGGGATAGCATTAGGAGATATACCTAATGCTAAATGACGAGTTAATGGGTGCAGCACACCAGCATGGCACATGTATACATATGTAACTAACCTGCACATTATGCACATGTACCCTAAAACTTAAAGTATAATAAAAAAAAAAGGCAGATTCTCAAAAAAAAAAAAAAGATTACTTGGTGTTCACTAAAATGGGGCCGTCCTATCAAGCCTGGTACTAATGGTATTGAAATCTATAAAGTTCTTAAGTGGTAAATACCAGTAAACAGGAGGTAAGAACTTGAACACAGACGGTTGTGGCAAAAAAAGCAATTAACCTGACAAAATTTGTATTTTCTCCTCTTTAATACAATATTGTGTTGGAAAGTGGCTTCTAAGATAGGAACTCTATTTCCTAGCCAGGGACTCTATTGCCTAGCCAAAGTGATATCTAGTTGTACTTAGTCTTTTCTCTTCTTCATGCTGGATTCAGAAAGAACCCAAAATATAATATACATATATGCACATATACATAAGCACATAATGCATAAATCATAAAATATATATTAAGTAGTGATAAAGTAAACAGGCACAATATTACACCGGTCAAGTAATAAGATTTTGCTAGCACCATGAAAGTTTCCTCTATGTACCTTCCGAAGTTATATCCCTCTATTTCCCCTAAAGAAAACAATTATCTTGAATTTCATAGTAATTGCTTTCTTACTTTCTTAAAAAAAAATTACTGCCTCTGTGCATTCCTAAGTAGTGTAATACACTTGTTTATGTTTTCTAACTTCTCATAGAAACTAAATTATATGTTATGAATCTGCAATCCTTTTTATTTCTAGAGACGGGTCTTGGTATATGTCCTGGAGGCTGGCGAGCAGTGGCGTAATCATAGCTCACTGCAGCCCTGAACTGTTGGGCTCAAGTGGTTCTCTAACCTCAGTCTTCCGAGTGACATCATTTTGTGCAACATTTTATTTTTGAGATTCTTCCATGCCGATGTTTGTATTACTTATTTATTACAAAAAAGTGTGCTATGTTTAATTATACCACAATATTTTTACAAATTTAACTGTTAATGGGCAATTTTTTTTCCATTTTGGCTTTTATAAATCTGGTAGTAAAAAAGTAGCCTTTCTTATATCTCTTAGTTGTACATGTGTATACATTACTATTATCTATATATCTGATTTTTTGTATATGTGTATATGACTGATCATAGTTTAAGCTAATTGTTGTAGGTAGTTGACGGTTGTTGATAAATGGATCTCCTTCTGTAGGAACATAACAGAAAATTTGCAGCACACATTGGTTAGAATAAGCTAGGTTTTGCTGTGGCTAAAACAACTCTAAAATTTCAGTGACTTTAAATGCACAGATTAGTTTTCAACTCAAGCCTTGTACCTCGTGAGTCAGCTAGGACTGTGCTCCTCACCACCACTGTCCTTCTTCCGGGATCCAGGCTGCTGGTGGTATTGCTATTGGAGATAACGTTAGCTGCCTCAGAAGTGAAAATAAAAAGCACAGGCTCTCATGCCTATGTACAGAAATGGCATATATCCCTTCTTAACTTAATTTGTCCGAGACAAGTAAAATGGACGCTCCTGCTTTCACTGGGTTTGTTGTATAGTGTTGCCAGAGGGAAGGGAACATGATTATAGTGACTTGTGGTTTAACCTGTAAGCTTCATCTGGTAATGACAGGCAATGTAATTGTGTCGAACATATTTTATAAACTCTATGTTTTTTTAAAAAATCATTAGTTATACTCTAGCATAGTTATTTTGTCTATTTTGTTTAGTTTTATCTTTATTACTTATGCATTGTAATTCTAAAGTAAATGGCATTAAAGACATTCAAGAATTTATGATAGAAATAAAAATCTGGGCCAAAAAAAGCAATAAAGATTGTTAAGTTTCTTATTGCTCCTTTTAAATATCACAAACATAAATCTTAGGGATCAAGGGCAATAAAAATAAACTTTAAACTGGATTTTTTTTTTCCTGATACTGTACAAAACTTATAAACGCCTGGAACATCCTTTGACACTGTGTCCGAGTAAGAATGAAATAACTAAATTTTAAATCAACATATTTATTTCAACAACAATTACTGGGATATTGTTGCTAATGTTCAATATATATGGAACTCAAAATGTATGTAATAACAAGTTGAAAATAATGTTCGCATATTTAGACAGAATGACTGGAAACTATTCTTTTAAATCACATAGCTAATGACAAAATGTAATCAATACAGTTCATAGTATAAAACATTTTAAGCAATAAAACTTCTGGAAAATTATTTTATCAAGAAATATAAATAAATAAAAATTAGAAAATGCCATTAACATTTATTAGCACTTTGGAAGAAAAAAATTTCAAAGAGAAACACTTATGTAGAAACTTTTTTGCACTTTATGTAGAAGACAAAATAATACGGAGGAAGTCTAAAAATCAAGTTTACAAACATATATTTGTGTGTGTGTATATATATATATCTGGATGCTTCAATCTGCTATTAATATATGTCACAACTGGTATTTTATCTAGATAATACACTAAAATATAAAATAAAACATTTCACATAGTTTTGGTCTCATAAATTTTATATTTACTACTATATTTTATATTTAGTAAATATAAAAAAATTTTATATTTACTATACTATATACATAAAATAAATCATTTCACACAGTTTTGGTCTCATAAATTTTACATTTACTACTATACACAAAAAGCAAAGCAATCTTAAAAATGTTTGAAGAACTGAAAATTGAAACAATAAAGAAGAAAAAAGATTAGGACCTTAGTGAGCATTCTGTAGTGCTAGAACAACAAAAGCAGTTCAAAATTTTATCTGTCTTGTATATTCACTTGATCAGAAATTGTGGAATATGAGTTTTGAACATTTGAAGATATAAAAAAAATTGATTAACAGTGCTCAAAGTTTTTAAAACTTATGTTTATAAGAAGAGACAGTTTTACATATTAAAGTTAATTGTAACTTCACAAGTGATAAAACTGTCAAAAAACACTAATAAAATTATAAAATGTATGTGTATTAATTTTCTATTGCTGCCATGATCAATTACTAAAACTTACTGTTATCAAAAAATACAAATTTATTCTTTTATAATTATGCAGGTCAGACATGTCTTACACAAATCCCTCAGGAATATAATTAAGGTGACACTGGGGCTGCATTCATTCTGTGCACTCTAGGAGAGAGTCCACTTTCTTGCCTTTTCCGGCTTCTAGAGGCTGCCTACATTTCTTTGCATTTCTTTGCTCTCAGTCCAGTCCTTCTCTGATTTTCAGGGAACGATTTTACATCAGTTCCCATACTCAAGTATCCCTCTGATTCTCGTCTTCTACCTCCCTATTTTGAAGGACCCATGTAATTATATTGTGACCACCCAGATAATCCAAGTTCAGCTCCCCAGCTGATATCTTAATCATATCAGCTAAGTCACCTATAGTACCCTAGAGTATATTCACTGGTTTTGAGTATTAGGATGTAGACATCACTGGGGTACAGCACTATTTTACCTACCAAATGAAGATTAGAAATAAAGAAATGTGATATATTATTTTAAAAAGTAAACTATCAAGTCCAAAGCAAATAATAAAAAATATGAAATATTTTTGTATAACAGCAGTTAATATTGAAATATTTTTAGTTTCTTAAATTGATTTTTATTATAAATATTGACCAAAAATTTTTCAATATATTATAAAACAGAGATGAACAAACATTTTAAAATTCCAAACCAACTAGTTAAATATGACCATCTAATAAGTGAATTTTGTAACTTGGTAATAAAGATTTTTAATAGAATAAGAAAGAGATAACATTATAATGTAAATCATCAAGAGCTGAGAGAGAATTCAACAAGAACAATATTATTAATATTAAAAGAAACGATTCACTTATTGAATCTGAAACATCAATTCAACAAGAAAGCCATTGGGAATTTAGAGGCAGTTTCTATGTCAAATGGTTACTCACACTTATTCATCCTTTAATTCAACCAACAAAGGTCAAAAAGACAAAGAAGAACATTACATAATGGTAAGGGATTTAATTCAACAAGAAGACCTAACTATCGTAAATATATATACACTCAACACAGGAGCACCCAGACTGATAAAGCAAGTTCTTAGAGGCCTACAAAGAGACATAGATTCTCACACAATAATAGTGAACATGTCAACACTCCACTGCTAGTATTAGACAGATAATCGAGGCAGAAAATTAACAAAGATATTCAGGACCTGAACTCAGTATTGGACCAAATGGATCTCATCAACCTCTACAGAAGTCTCCAGTCTCCACCTCAAAACAACAGAATATACATTTGTCTCATTGTCCCATGCACATACTCTAAAATTGACCACATAATTGGACATAAAGTAATCCTCAGCAAATGCAAAAGAATCAAAATCATAGCAAACACAATCTCATACCACAGTGCAATAAAAATAGAAGTCAAGACAAAGAAAATCACTCAAAAATCACACACTTACATAGAAATTAAACAACATGCCTTTTAATGACTTTTGGGTAAATAATGAAATTAAGACATAATTCAAGAATTTATTTGAAACTAATGAGAACAAAGATACAACATACCACTATCTCTGGGACACAGCCAAGGAAGGCAATGTTAAGAGGGAAATTCATAGCAGTAAATGCCCACATCAAAATGTTAAAAATATCTCAAATTAACAACCTAACACCACTACTGAAATAATTAGAGAAGCAAGAACAGATCAATCCCAAAGTTAGCAGAAGACAAAAAGTAACAAAAACCAGAGGTGAACTGAAGGAAATCAAGACACAAAAAAACCATTCAAAAGATCAATGAAGTCAGGAATTGGTTTTTTCAAAACATTAATGTGATAGATAGGTCACTAGCTAGACTAATGGAAAAGAAAAAGAGAAGACTCAAATAAGCACAATTAGAGATGATGAAGGGAAGGTTACCACTGACCCCACAGAGACAAAAATAACCATCAGAAACTATTATGAAGACCTCTATGCATGCAAGATAGAAAATCTAGAAGAGATGGACAAATTCCTGGACACATACTCCCTCCCAAGACTGAACCAGGAAGAAACTAATTCCCTGAGCAGACCAATAACAAGCTCTGAAATTGAATCAGCAATGAATAGACTACATATAAATGTATATGGTAGAAAACAATTGATTATAGCAACAATTTTTAAAAATTAATACATCTTTTCTAAATTATGAGAAGGAGTTGGTAAAACATTTTCAGCATTATTTATACAGTCTGATAATTAGTTTTAGCATAATTGCTTAGATTATTAGGTAATCCAAAATAATACCTTTAATGTTTTATTCATACATGAGCTTTAACATTCAAGTAATAAAATAATTAATATCATCCCTGATTTATTTAGTACATATTGCATCTAAATTCAGCTCCACTTAATTATTCCAAATATTATTCATTTTTGTCTACCCCCCTTTGCATATCCATTCTTGTTCACTCTCTCTCTCTCTCATAGTCTGCCTTGATCAACTTGATTTGAGGTTTATTAGTGTTAATCATACTTTGAAAGAATAAAATTGCTTATTTTTGTTTTCTATTTAGTTAATTTTTATTTTTATTCTTTCTTATGTTACTTTGTTTCTCTTTTTGTTAATGTGTTGATTTACATTTTTGCTCATCATTTTGTTTTTTCACATTCTTCTTTTCTAATTTATGCATTTAGGACTGAAGACTTGTTTTTCAAGTGCTATTTTAGTTGTGTCTCTTGCTTTCAGAAAGGAGGGGCTTTGTCATTCAAACTTCATACATGGAAATTAATTTTAATACATAATTTTCTTTGATTTCTGAATTACTTTAAAAAATGTGTTGTCCAAGCATTTGTATTATGTATTTCTTTGTTTATCTTTTTGCTGTTATTTCCTAGTGTTAGTAGCTTTCAGTAATTGAGCATGTTCTGCATGACACTGATTTCTTAATGTTTTTAGAAGTTCATTCATAAAAAAGTATTTAATAAATTTTGAAAGCTCTCCCGTATACTTATAAAGAATGTATATTTTCTAATTTTGTGGCTTGACTGTTTCCTTCCTTTCTTCCTTCCTTCCTTCCTTTTTTTTTTTTTTTTTTGGAGTCTTGTTGCCCAGGCTGGAGTGCAATGGCGCAATCTCAGCTCACTGCAACCTCTGCCTCCAGGGTTCAAGCGATTTTCCTGCCTCATCCTCCCGAGTAGCTGGGATTACAGGCATGTGCCACCACACACAGATACTTTTGTACTTTTAGTAGAGACAGGGTTTCACCGTGTTAGGGAGGCTGGTCTCGAACTCCTGACTTAAGGTAATCCACCCGCCTTGGCCTCCCGAAGTGCTGAGATTACAGGCATGAGTCACTGTACCCGGCCTGTTTTATATATTTCTACTTGATTAACTTCTTTATATTTATGGTATATATAATCTATGTTCTTATTAATATTTGCCTCCGGATGTATTAAGATTTGTTAGATATATATATTAAAACTTTAAAAACTGTGAATTCACAAATATCTCCTGTTAAAAATAAAACTACTGTTTGTGAAAAACTTTTTTTTACTTAACCAAGAAAGATTTACAGTTAGATTATTTACTTTGTGGTCTTTCCACGTCTCCTCTTATACAAGTTTGCTCTCCATATATGAGGGGTTTTTGTGTATTTACATTTCAGCCCTCTTGTAGGTTCTAATAAGCATATAATCTTTTTTGTACCAATGTAATATTGTCACAAAGTGTTTGCTTGTATTAAGATAGATTATGCATTATATTGCATGTCTAAAACACTCATCTAGATGTATCACCTGAAAAAATATGCCAAAATGCGTATGTATTTATCTATAGCAAAAACAAATTTTAAGATCTACCATTGACAGCATACCAAGTAGTTTGCAGCACGCAAGTTAAGAACTACTGATATGGACTCTTCTACCTTTCTACCAGCTACTTGATCCCAGAGTGCCTCCCTCAATATGTTTATGCAATGAGGAAATTTATGATTGAGATACTTTTTAGAGTGAAAAATGAACTTAACTAGAATAACTAAACGGATCCAACACAACATAAAATTGACTGGGAGGAACAGATTGAGTGACAATCTTTAACTCAGTTTAAGAGATATAAATATTTACAAATTTATTACAACTTGTTTTTTGACCTAACATATAACCTCTTCTTAGGGACGTTCCATACATGCTTGAGAAGAATGTGTAGTCTGCTGATTTGGATAACATTTTTTGTTTATCCCTGTTAGTTCCATTTGGTCTAAATTATTTTTTAAGTTTCACGTTTTCGTACTGATTTCCTGTCTGGATGATCCATCCATTGCTAAACGTAGGGTATTTAAATCCCCCACTAATATTGTATTGCAGATTATTTCTTCCTTCAGATTTAATATTTGAATTGTATATTTAGGTATTCAAATGTTGGCTATATACAGATGATGCCCAATTTATGATAGAGTTATATCCTGGTAAGCCCATCATAAGTTGAAAGTATCATAATAAAAATACAGTTAATATACCTAACCTATCAACATCACAGCTTAGCCTACCTTAACTTAAATGTGCTCAGAACATTTACATTAGCTGACAGTTGGGTAAAATCATCTAACATAAGCCTATTTTATAATAAAGTATTCAATATTTCATGTAATTTATTGAATACTATACAAAAAATACTAAATAGAATGGTTGTATAGGTACTCAAAGCAGTTTCTACTGAACGTGTTTCAATGTTTAACCATTGTAAAGAAAAAAATTTTAAGTCCAACTGTTGTAAATTGAGTATCATCTGTATATATTTACAATTGTTATATTCACTTGATGAATTGACCTCTTTATCATTATATAATGACCTTATTTGTCTTGCTTTAAGATTTTTAACTCCTATTTTGTCTGATGTAAGTATAGCTATTCTTGTTCACTTTTTTTCCATTTGCATAAGATATTTTGTTCTGTCCCTTCACTTTCAATCTCTTTCCTTATAATTGAATTGATTCTCTTCTAGATAGCATACAGCTGGGTCTTGTTTTGTATTCTTTCAGCCACTCTGTTTTTTCATTGGATGATTTAATTCATTTACTTGAAGGTGATTATTGAGAAGTAAGGACTTACTACCACCATTTTGTTAATTGTGTTCTCTTTTTTTTTTTTTTTTTGGTAGATCCATTTTTTTCTTTCTCTCTTGCTGTCTTCCTTTGTAATTACGTATTTTTTTCACAAATACACTTAGATTCCTTACTTTTTATCTGTAGTCTATCCACCATAGGTTTTTGCTTTGTGTGCACTTGCAAAAATCTTCTTCTGTCTATAAAACAGGCTATTTTAAGCTGATAACAACTTAACTTTGATCACATAAAGAACTTTACACTTTACTGCCTTCCTCACCGTTAAAATTTTTGATATCACAATTTACATCTTTAATATTGTGTATCCCTTAAACTATAGATTAACCTTCATATTATAGACATAAGGGTTTTACACACCACCATTACACTGTTAAGGTATAGTGAATATGACTGTATTGACTGATACCGGTGAGTTTTATATTTTCACGTATTTTTGTGTTACTATTTAGCATTCTTTTCTTTCAGTTTATTGAACGTCCCTTAACATTTCTTGTAATTCAGGTCTGATGGTAGTGAGCTCCACCAACTTTTGTTTGGAAAAGTCTTTATCTCCCCTTCATTTCTGAAAGACAGCTTTGCTAAATAGAATATTTTTGGTTGACAGGGTTTTTGTTGTTGTTGTTATGTTTTGTTTTGTTTTTGTTTTTCACTGTAGCACTTTGAAAATATCATCTCACTCTCTCTTGGCCAGTAAGATCTCTGCTGAAAATTCCACTTCTAGCCTTATTGAACTCACTTATATGTTATTTGCATATCTTCTTTTACTATTTTTAGAATTCTGTCTTTGATGTTGATTTGACAATTGGATAATAATATGTGTTGGTATAATACTTCTTAAACTGAATCTGATTGGAGACCTTTATCTCCCTATACTATACCTTTCTCCAAATTTGGAAACTTTTCTGCTATTTTTTATTTAAATAAGCTTTTAACCTCTTTTTATTTCTCTGTTTTTTAACATATGCATAAATTCAACATTTGTGTTTTTGATGCTGTCTCATAGATTCTATAAGCTTTTGTTATTCCTCTTTATTATTTTTTACTCTCACTGTATATTTTCAAATAACCTTTCTCTGAGTTCACAGAGTTATTCTTCTGCTTGATCAGTTCTGCTATTGTTGCTCTCCATTGAATTTTTATTTTATTCATTGTATTTTTCAGCTCCAGAATTTTTGTTTGATATTTTTAATATATAATTTTAATTTCTCTGTTAATTTTTTTAATGTGTTATTTTTTTGTTTGTTTTCCTAATCTAATTAAATTGTTTTTCTGTATTTTCCTGAAGTTTGTTGAGCTTCCTTTATACATTTACTTTGAATTCTTTGTTAGTCAGGCAGTTAGTATGTCTTCATTTCTTTGGGGTAAACCACTGGGAGATTATTGTGGGGATTTTTGGTAATGTTATATCTACTTGCCATTTTATGCTTCTTGTTGCTTTACATGATGTTTGCACATGTGAAGAACTAGGGACTCCTTTCATTCTGCAGAATGTCTTTGTCTGGGAAAGCCCTTCACTAATTAGCACATCTAGAGATTCTAGGCAGAATATCTGGTGTGGTTCAAGAGTGAGCTTGTTACGTCAGTCCTCAGACAGAGTGGCTGTATGCTTGTCTGGGTTCGTAGGTAAGTAGATCGGGTACTTGGGTGTGTGAGGTGAGACCTGAAGCCTATATTCACTGGGGTAGACCTGTTCACTGGGTCTGCAGGGATAGCCCTGAAGCCTGGATCCACAAGAGTAGGCCTGAATTCTGTATCAGTGGGGTCCAACCTGAAGCCTGAGTCTACAGGTACTGATGTAGCAGTAGGCTGTAACTTGAGCCTGTCTGCAGGAGTTATCTAAGCACCAAGATGGTTCTGCAGCTTAGGTTCAATGAAATTGGTCTGGAGCAAGAATCCATGAAAGCTGGTCTGGCACTGCAGCAGGTCTGGTAAGAACATATGACGACAGGCCTGGATTTTAACTTCATTAGGGCTGGCCTGGGTCTGAAAGGATGGTTTTGGAGCTTTCATCCACAGGGTCCAACCTGGCGCTGGTGTTTACTGCAGTGAGCCCTAACTATGGGCCTAGTGAAGCAGGCCTGAACTCTGGGTCTTCCACAGCCTAGCGTCAGCTTGATGCTGAAGCTGACATGGAACCAAAGGTCCACAGGGGCTGGCTTGAAGTCTAGGATCGTAGGTGCTTGCTGGTGCCTGATGCCACTAGGACTGCCCTGGGTCCTAGGGCTTCAGGGATCAGCCTGGGACCTAGGTACACAGGAGCTGTCATGAAACCTGAGTTCACGGGGAGAAGTCCACGAGTGAGCTTACTGAGACAGGCTTGGACCTTGGGTCTGCTACAGTATGGCGTCACAAGGATCACAGGGACCAGTCCAGAGCTTGTGTCCAAGGGTGCCCACCTTGTGTTTGATGTCAGGTGTGCTGAACTATTTCTAGCATCATCCAGGGACTGTATGGGCTGGCTTCACCCTGGATGAACCTATGTCCTGTATTTGTAAGGACAAGCCTGGAGGCGGGCTCCATGGCTGCCAGCCTGATAATTAGGGCAACAGGGTTGACGTGTTGCTGGGATGGGCCCAAAATCTGTTGTCATGGGGGCTATCCATGTGTTGGAGACAGTCTGGAGGCTGGGATCCCTGAGGTTGGCCTAGCAATAGAGCATTCTGGAGACTAAATGCACCTCATGGGCCTGGAGCCTGGAATTGTGGAATCCAGATTGATGCCAGAATTGGCTTGAAGTCCACAGGTACCATCCTAGAGTCTGGGAGTGTTAGAGGTCTATGCAGCACTGGGTTTTATGTGTGTAGGCCCAGTGTAGGGGTTAAAGGAAGAGTCAGATGCTTGTCTTCTCCTTCCCTCAAGCACAGGGTATCTCTTTTCAGTCTGTGCTGCCCAGGGTTGGGGGAGGGTTGATGTGGGTAATGCAAAACTGTCCTTTCTACCCTCTTGTTTTTTTTTTTTTTCTGTGTACACCTGGGTGCTGTGATCTGTGATTCCTCACCTGCTTTCATTAGCTTTTCTAAAGGTATTTTTGTACATGCATAATTGTTTGAATTGATATTTCTGCTGAGGGAAAAATATTGCTGACATTTCCCCTTTGCCTTAGAAGTTTTGTTAAAAAGATAAATATCTTTCAGTGGTAAGACACGGCCAGAATTTGTAGATAAAAGCATTTCTAATTCTTGTTTTCAGAACATATAATGCTGATGCAAAGTACATAACAAAGATAAATATAAGATCTAACCTTTATGCTACTGCCTTGAGACATTTTTCCAAGGACTTTAGGTGTATCAACTCATTTAATTTTCAAAACAACACCTTGAGTTTGATGTTTATATATTGACCAAAGAGAAAACTGAGATATAAAGATATACGATTTGACAAAGATAATATGTCTAGGTTATGATTGAGCTAGCATTTAAAAGCAGTCAATTTGGCTTAAGAATTTGAGATTTAACAACTAAATCACATGATTTCCTGAAAAATAAAAGGAAAAGCTCCGTGGAAAAGAAATGACATTTTCTCATAATTTTTCATTCTAATATAATTCAGCAAATTTTCTACAAACACTACAGAGAAAATCACAATTTACCTGATATTTAATGACTGTATACTATTTAATAATCTATCATAGAAATTTAATTGTTTATAAATATTTCATAGAAACCTATATATTTTCTTCTTGTCAGATACAAAACCACTTTATTATATTTATTTTTCTCTATTCCAGAATAGGCAGAATTAAGATAGTCAGTGTAGAATAACTGAAAAGTTTCACATAGATTATAAAGAATCTTATACTTCTCAGGAAGAATCTTATACTTCTCAGCTTTTCATAAATAATGAAACATAAATTTTTGTGTGAAGAATCAGGTATATGCATAACCAAAATTCTAGCTCTTCCTCTAAGGAAAGATGGAGATATATGTGAGCACATCTGCATTTCCTGGTTCACTGAATTTTTATATTTCACTCAATTAGAGGAAAAGAAAACAAGAGTGCCTATATTGTGTAAATTATATCTGGCCATAATCTAGGTTTCTCCTACTAGTTTTCATTATTGTGTATATATACTAGTATAAGAAAAATATATAAAAATTTGTTGGCTTCATTGATATAGTCAACTAGGTTTATATGATGTGATAAAAATATATAGATATGATAGGATTCTATTTGGTAAAATTTTTCCCCCTAGTAAACACGCAGAATATAATTAGATTGAATTCTAAATTATTTATTTCAATAAACACTTTCATAATAATATACTCTGTGTGATTCTTTTTGCTATGGTCTAAGCTTTCATTACATTTCTGGTGCCTCAGTCTGCCCTCTGTATATTTTAAATTGAATTATACAATTCACTTCAGTATTTCAAATTTTCTTCTGAATCCTTTCTATAAGATTAACCTAATTTTTATGCTCAGCAAAATCTAAGCCAAGAAGAATTCCTCCTGAGCTTAATTGAAGCCTGGGGTTATGCATACTAGTTTCAATGTCCAGGGCACTAACTTGACTTGAAGGAGAAAGAGGTAAAGTCAGAACTATAGTACCAGATTTTGACAGAATAAGATACATTTCCTTTAAGGTCTTATTTAACTTTGGAGTGTATTTTTTTAGACATTCTTCAGGCTATTTAAATGCAGACTATGGATTTTTCATGAAATTATTTTTTAAACAAACAGGAAGGAAGAGAATACTGCATTATGTGGAATAAATTACATTTACTAAATTTTCCATCCAGTTGTCATGACAACCCTGATACTTTCCATAATATGTAGACTATTAAGTCTTGAACTAGATATGCTTTTTAAAAAGATACTAACTTTCAGGGAATTATTTTCTATTAGAACTCTTAGAAAGGACCACACGATTATTATGCTTCAATAAACAACCTGTGATCCTTATGCTATTCCTTTAAATCACAAAATGGGTGAGAAAAGTATGAAAAACACCTTAAAATATCAGGGTTCAATAATATTTTCTTTAAATGTCATGTATTTCAAACATCAGCAGATGCTTGAGTCCTATCTTTGGAATCTGTGACAGCTGTTGTCCAGCTAATGTCTCCAGTGACTGTGAATTTATTATGTCTGCCTGGAAATATCTTCAAAGTAAAGAAATTCTGAAATTAGAACACTCTCCCAATATTCTCCTTTTGCCTTCCATCCATTTTTCTTTCTTTTGTAGTTATAAATGAAACCTCTTCCAAATTACTACCTTCACAATAGTTAAAGCTAGCTTAAGTTTGACCCAAGCTCTCTAGTCATTGGATTAAATAATGCAATTTCTAACAACTATGCTTATACAGATAATTATAAATTTTTATCCTATCATAAAATATTTCTGTGAGTTATGGATTGCATTTTGTACTGGATTCACATTTAGAGAGCATACATTTCTTTCATCATTTTATGTTTACTTAATTCAGAAATATTGAGTTTATAATGGTTTATAGATTATAAACACATGGCTTCTAAAACTCGTTTGGCCCTTAAAAGAGGGACCTCTTCTTACCCCATCACCACTTTCTATAAGTCACCCTAATACCACCAAAGTTTTATTTGCCCATGTCAGTCAGTCTGGCTTATTAAAGCCTCCTTCTCTCTGCTAGTCATGCCACCCTTCCTAAAGTCAAATATGTAAGAATTTTGACTAAAGAGTAATTAATTTGGTCAATATTTATTGACACTCAACAATGTTCCAACAACTATGGGGAGAACAAAGATGAGTAAAATACATACATAGAGATTTTAGTAGTTCAATTATACCCTAACTTATAGACAAAATGGACACCCCGTAGCTAACTGAGACACTCAAGTTAGAGCAGAACCAGGTTGAGTGTCAATAAATACTGACTGAATTGATTTTGGAAATCTTTAAATGTAGGGGAAAATAAAGGTCACTATAGACAGGTTGAATGGAAAGACTTTGGAGTTTTCAGTACATCTGTAAGACAGCTTGACATCTGCCTCATAATACACAAATTGTTGAAACAACCAACTGAAGATAAAATCCTTTAAAATCATATTTCTAACAGAGCAATCATTTGCAAAATTTCAACCTCAAAGCATACAGTCTGTAATTCCATGTAGATATGAATTAGTTCCCTGTGTCATTTTATGTGTCTGGGAACTAAATCACATCTACATGGAATTACAGAACCATTATTTTTTTGTGACAATTCACACTCCAGAAGACAAAGCTCTGTCCTGGCACAAGGTGAATGAAATTGTTGCCTAGTCAAAACAAGACCGAATACAAGGCAGAAAACAGATATCACTCATGAGCAATCAATTACAGCACATTCTTGCTAAATTCTGAAAGGAAGTCTTTCTTGGTGCTTTTTCATAGCTCTGTTTTACTCATTGAAAATATAAATGAATTTCAATACATTAATTTATGGAAAATTTAATCACAAAAAATGTCAATAATCGTAAGAAGAGAACCAAGTCCAAGATTCTAACATAGCTCGGTTATACACAGTTGACATTGGGGAGATCACCTACCACTTTGGTCTTGGTGGGCTAAATGTTCATGTTTCTGAAATGATGAAGTGAGTATATCAAAATCAGACAAATGTTAACTGTGGTACGTATAGATTATTTTGTTCTAAACATTATTTTTTAATGTGACAGTTACTCTTATTTGGCAGATCTGAACCAGTGAATTTTCTTGATTCATGTGCAGAGTTAATGAAGTCGATGTTCTGATTTAAAGATCCACAGGGGGTCAGTTAGCTTCACATGGAAAGTTTTGTCCTAATGGAATAAGTTGTACTTGGTCATAATGCTGAAGAGCTTTGTCTCAAATGTATTCTCTTGCTCATAGTGGAAGCTAGGTAAGATGCAAATTTTATATATATATATACATAGTTATTATACTTTAAGTTCTAGGGTACATGTGCACAACATGCAGGTTTGTTACATATGTATACATGTGCCTTGTTGGTGCGCTGCACCCATTAACTCGTCATTTACATTAAGTATATCTCCTAATGCTATCCCTCCCCCTTCCCCCCACCCCACAACAGGCCCCAGTGTGTGATGTTCCCCTTCCTGTGTCCAAGTGTTCTCATTGTTCAATTCCCACCTATGAGTGAGAAGATGCGGTGTTTGGTTTTTTGTCCTTACAATAGTTTGCTGAGAATAATGGTGTCCAGCTTCATCCATGTCCCTACAAAGGACATGAACTCATCATTTTTATGGCTGCATAGTATTCCATGGTGTATATATGCCACATTTTCTTAAACCAGTCTATCATTGTTGCACATTTGGGTTGGTTCCAAGTCTTTGCTATTGTGAGTGGTGCTACAATAAATATACGTGTGCATGTGTCTTTATAGTAGCATGATTTATAGTCCTTTGGGTATATACCCAGTAATGGGATTGCTGGGTCAAATGGTATTTCTAGTTCTAGATCCTTGAGGAATCGCCACACTGTCTTCCACAATGGTTGAACTAGTTTACAGTCCCACCAACAGTGTAAAAGTGTTCCTATTTCTCCACATCCTCTCCAGCACCTGTTGTTTCCTGACTTTTTAATGATCACCATTCTAGCTGGTGTAAGATGGTATCAAATTGTGGTTTTGATTTGCATTTCTCTGATGGCCAGTGATGGTGAGCATTTTTTCATGCATCTGTTGGCTGCATAAATGTCTTCTTTTGAGAAACATCTGTCCATGTCCTTTGCCCACTTTTTGATGGGGTTGTTTGTTTTTTTCTTGTAAATTTGTTTGAGTTCATTATAGATTCTGGATATTAGCCCTTTGTCATATGAGTAGATTGCAAACATTTTCTCCCATTTTGTAGGTTGCCTGTTCACTCTGATGGTAGTTTCTTTTGCTGTGCACAAGCTCTTTAGTTTAATTAGATCCCATTTGTCAATTTTGGCTTTTGTTGCCATTGCTTTTGGTGTTTTAGACATGAAGTCCTTACTCATCCCTAGTGTCCTGAATGCTATTGCCTAGGTTTTCTTCTAGGGTTTTTATGGTTTTAGGTCTAACATTTAATCCTTTAATCGATCTTGAATTAATTTTTGTGTAAGGTGTAAGGAAGGGATCCAGTTTCAGCTTTCTACATATGGCTAGCTGGTTTTCCCAGCACCATTTGTTAACTAGGGCATCCTTTCCCCATTTCGTGTTTTTGTCAGTTTTGTCAAAGATGTAGATGTGTGGCATTATTTCTGAGGGCTCTGTTCTGTTCCATTGGTCTATATCTCTGTTTTGGTACCAGTGTGCCATGCTGTTTTGGTTACTGTATCCTTGTAGTATAGTTTGAAGTCAGGTAGTGTGATGCCTCCAGCTTTGTTCTTTTGGCTTAGGATTGACTTGGCAATGCGGGCTCTTTTTTGGTTCCATACGAACTTTAAAGTAGTTTTTTTCCAACTCTGTGAAGAAAGTCATTGGTAGCTTGAGGGGGATGGCATTGAATCTGTAAATTACCTTGGGCGTTATGGCCATTTTCACAATATCGATTCTTCCTATCCATGAGGATGGAGCGTTCTTCCATTTGTTTGTATCCTCTTTTATTTCATTGAGCAGTGGTTTGCAGTTCTCCTTGAAGAGGTCCCTCACATCCCTTGTAAGTTAGATTCCTAGGTATTTTATTCCCTTTGAAAAAATTGTGAATGGGAGTTCACTCATGATTTGGCTCTCTGTTTGTCTGTTATTGGTGTATAAGAATGCTTGTGATTTTTGCACATTGATTTTGTATCCTGAGGCTTTGCTGAAGTTGCTTATCAGCTTAAGGAGATTTTGGGCTGAGACAATGGGATTTTCTAGATATACAATCATGTCATCTGCAAACAGGGACAATTTGACTTCCTCTTTTCCTAATTGATTGCCCTTTATTTCCTTCTCCTGCCTGATTGCCCTGGCCAGAACTTCCAACACTATGTTGAATAGGAGTGGTGAGAGAGGGCATCCCTGTCTTGTGCCAGTTTTCAAAGGGAATGCTTGCAGTTTTTGCCCATTCAGTATGATATTGGCTGTGGGTTTGTCATAAATAGTTCCTATTATTTTGAGATATGTCTCATCAATACCTAATTTATTGAGAGTTTTTATCATGAAGGGTTGTTGAATTTTGTCAAAGGTCTTTTCTGCATCTGTTGAGATAATCATATGGTTTTTGTCTTTGGTTCTGTTTATATGCTGGATTATGTTTATTGATTTGGGTATGTTGAACCAGCCTTGCATCCCAGGGATGAAGCCCACTCGATCATGGTGGATAAGCTTTTTGATGTGCTGCCGGATTCGGTTTGCCAGTATTTTTTTGAGGATTTTTGCATCGATGTTCATCAAGGATATTGGTCTAAAATTCTCTTTTTTTGTTGTGTCTCTGCCAGGCTTTGGTATCAGGATGATGCTGGCCTCATAAAATGAGTTAGGGAGAATTCCCTCTTTTTCTATTGATTGGAATAGTTTCAGAAGGAATGGTACCATTTCCTCCTTGTACCTCTGGTAGAATTCAGCTGTGAATCCATCTGGTCCTGGACTTTTTTTGGTTGGTAAGCTATTAATTATTGCCTCAATCTCAGAGCCTGTTATTGGTCTATTCAGAGATTCAACTTCTTCCTGGTTTAGTCTTGGGAGGGTGTATGTGTCAAGGAATTTATCCATTTCTTCTAATTTTCTAGTTTATTTGCGTAGAGGTGTTTATAGTATTCTCTGATGGTAGTTTCTATTTCTGTGGGATCAGTGGTGATGTGTCTGGAATTTGTGGGTTCTTGGTCTCAGTGACTTCAAAAATGAAGCTGCAGACCCTCACAGTGAGTGTCACATTTCTTAAAGGCGGTGTGTCTGGAGTTTGTTCATTCTGATGCTCAGATGTGTTCGGAGTTTCTTCCTTCTGGTAGTTTCATGGTCTGGCTGGCTTCAGGAGTGAAGCTGCAGACCTTCGCGGTGAATGTTACAGCTCTTAAAGGCAGTTGTGGACCCAAAGAGTGAGCAGCAGCAAGATTTACTGCAATGAGTGAAAGAACAAAGCTTCCACAGCATGCAAGGGCACCCAAGTGAGTTGCCACTGCTGGCTCAGGAAGCCTGCTTTTATTCTCTTATGTGGTCCCACCCACATCCTGCTGATTGGTCCATTTTACAGAGAGCCAATTGGTCCATTTTACAGAGAGGTGATTGGTCCATTTTGACAGGATAGTGATTGGCGCATTTACAATCCTTGAGCTAGACACAAAAGTTCTCCACGTCCCCACTAGATTAGCTAGATACAGAGTGTTGACACAAAGGTTCTCCAAGTCCCCACCAGAGTAGCTAGAGAGTGTCGATTGGTGCATTTACAATCCCTTAGCTAGACATAAATGTTCTCCAAGTCCCCACCAGACTCAGAAGCCCAGTTGGCTTCACCTAGTGGATCCTGCAGCAAGGCTGCAGGTGGAGTTGCCTGCCAGTCCTGTGCCATGTGCCTGCACTCCTCAGCCCTTGAGTGGTCGATGGGACTGGGCGCCGTGGAGCAGGGAGCAGCACTCTTCAGGGAGGCTCAGGCTGTGCAGGAGCCCACAGTGAGGGGGAGGCTCAGGCATGGCGGACTGCAGGTCCCAAGCTCTGCCCCGTGGGGAGGCAGCTAAGGCCTGGCAGGAAGTTGAGCACAGCAGCTGTGGGCCCAGGTGCTAAGCCCCTCAATGCCCCGGGCTGGCGGGGCTGGCTGGCCACTCCGAGTGTGGGGCCTGCGGAGTCCATGCCCATGTGGAACTCGCACTGGCCTGCAAGCACCGTGCACAGCCCTGGTTCCTGTGCCTCTCCCTCCACACCTCCCCGCAAGCTGAGGGAGCCAGCTCTGGCCTTGGCCAGCCCAGAAAGGGGCTCCCACAGTGCAGCGGTGGGCTGAAGGGCTCCTCAAGTGCAGCCAGAGTGGGCACCAAGGCCAAGGAGGCGCCGAGAGAGAGCAAGGGCTGTGGGGGCTGCCAGCACGCTGTCACCTCTCAGTGATATCCCCTTTATCATTTTTTATTACGTCTATTTGATTCTTCTCTCTTTTCTTCTTTATTAATCTTGCTAGCGGTCTATCAATTTTGTTGATCTTTTCATAAAACCAGCTCCTCGATTCAGTGACTTTTTGAAGGGTTTTTTGTGTCTCTTATCTCCTTCAGTTCTGCTCTGATCTTAGTTATTTCTTGCCTTCTGCTAGCTTTTGAATGTGTTTGCTCTTGCTTCTCTAGTTCTTTTAATTGTGATGTTAAGGTGTCAATTTTAGATCTTTCCTGCTTTCTCTTGTGGGCATTTAGTGCTATAAATTTCCCTCTACACACTGCTTTAAATGTGTCCCAGAGATTCTGGTATGTTGTGTCTTTGTTCTCATCGGTTTCAAAGAACATCTTTATTTCTGCCTTCCTTTCATTATGTACCCAGTATTCATTCAGGAGTAGGTTGTTCAGTTTCCATGTAGTTGAGTGGTTTTGAGTGAGTTTCTTAACCCTGTGTTCTAGTTTGATTGCACTGTGGTCTGAGAGACAGTTTATTGTAATTTATGTTCTTTTACATTTGCAGAGAAGTTCTTAAAGGACCTAATGGAGCTGAAAACCATGGCACGAGAACTACGTGACAAATGCACAAGCTTCAGTAGCTGATTTGATCAACTGGAAGAAAGGGTATCAGTGATTGAAGATCAAATGAATGAAATGAAGTGAAAAGAGAAGTTTAGAGAAAAAAGAATAAAAAGAAATGAACAAAGCTTCCAAGAAATATGGGGCTATGTGAAAAGACCAAATCTACGTCTGATTGGTGTACCTGAAAGTGTCAGGGAGAATGAAACCAAGTTGGAAAACACTCTGCAGTATATTATCCAGGAGAACTTCCCGAACCTAGCAAGGCAGGCCAGCATTCAAATTCAGGAAACACAGAGAACGCCACAAAGATACTCCTCGAGAAGAGCAACTCCAAGACACATAATTGTCAGATTCACCTAAGTTGAAATGAAGGAAAAAATGTTAAGGGCAGCCAGAGAGAAAGGTCGGGTTGCTCACAAAGTGAAGCCCATCAGACTAACAGCTGATCTCTCAGCAGAAACTCTACAAGCCAGAAGAGAGTGGGTGCCAATATTCAACATTCTTGAAAAGAATTTTCAACCCAGAATTTCATATCCAGCCAAACTAAGCTTCATAAGTGAAAGAAAAATAAAATACTTTACAGACAAGCAAATGCTGAGAGATTTTGTCACCACCAGGCCTGCCCTAAAAGAGCTCCTGAAGGAAGCACTAAATATGGAAAGGAACAACCGGTACCAGCCACTGCAAAAACACGCCAAGTTGCTAGGAAGAAACTGCATCAACTAATGAGCAAAATAACCAGCTAACCTCAAAATGACAGGATCAAATTCACACATAACACTATTAACCTTAAATGTAAATGGGTTAAATGTTCCAATTAAAAGACACAGACTGCCAAATTGGATAAAGAGTCAAGACCCATCAGTGTGCTGTATTCAGAAAACCCATCTGACGTGCAGAGACACACATAGGCTCAAAATAAAAGGATGGAGGAAGATCTGCCAAGCAAATGGAAAACAAAAAAAAGGCAGGGGGTGCAATCCTAGTCTCTGATAAACCAGACTTTAAACCAACAAAGATCAAAAGAGACAAAGAAGGCCATTACATAGTGGTAAAGGGATCAATTTAGCAAGAAGAACTAACTATCCTGAATATATATGCACCCAATACAGGAGCACCCAGATTCATAAAGCAAGTGCTTAGATACCTACAAGGAGACTTAGACTACCACACAATAATGATGGGAGACTTTAACATCCCACTGTCAACATTAAACAGATCAACGAGACAGAAAGTTAACAAGGATATCCAGGAATTGAAATCAGTTCTGCACCAAGCAGACCTAATAGACATCTACAGAACTCTCCACCCCAAATCAACAGAATATACATTCTTCTCAGCACCACATTGCAGTTATTCCAAAATTGACCACATAGTTGGAAGTCAAGCACTCCTTAGCAAATGTAAGATGCAAATTATTCTCACTTATGGAAAAGAAAATATATGATACAATTTCTCATTTAGGCCAGGACATCAGTATAATTGTCCATGTGAATGAAAGTGTATTTTGCAAGTATTGTTTTTAAAAAATATCTAATTTTTATCGTGATTTTTTATTTTTAGATTATCTTATTAATGAATAATAAATGTGTGCTTGCATCACACATGTATTATATCATCATATACAGAGCATTATTTGTAATTTAAAATATATTTAAACATGCAAACTTTAGCATTTTATGAACTTTTTAGATTAATCTGAGCTATTTTTCTTGAACAGGTTCAGGTATCTCTGCTCCCACATAAAATCAGTTGCTTCATTTTCAATAAATAGAGACATTATGTGTATCTTCAAGTCAGAAAACATCTTTCAAAAAATGTAAATAGTAAACATATGCCTAAATTTTTCCCCATTCTTCAATGTTTTTGGATAAAATCTGTATTTTAAAAATTATCTGGATGAATACTCCTCTCTCAAGAATACTAAACATTAAATTTTGTGCTTATAATTTTCATAAAAAGAAATATGCTTGTAGAATTATATCTTGGCAACCAAATTCTCCATTTTAAAGAAGTCCAGAGTGCTTACATTTGAACTAGTTCTTATTTTGTACATTATAAGTACATCACTAGTATTGTACATAACCATATTTGTAAATGCTTTTTAATAAAGCATTAAGAAGATTATGAAACTATGCCTAGCAAGGCTAAATTAAATAGAACAGAGCCCTCCATTCTTTTCTATACTGAAATTTTACAGAAATTATAATCCTCACACACTAATTCAGTGAATATTCAATATTGTGCTATAGCTTCTTTGGATCATCACAGCTATCAGAAACACATATATTTTTGCCCCTTTCAATGGGGATGGTGCATAAGAAAATACTAAGAAAAAGATATTGTGGAGCACCATCTATTCATTTTCAAATTTTATTCTCAACTGTTAAAGCAAAATTAAAATGGAGAAATGGAGGCTGAGCTTGAAAAATTCCTGAGCAAACAAAACCACCTACGTCTTTTTTTTTTTTTTGATGGAGTTTGGCTCTTGTCTCCCAGGCTGGAGTGCAATGGCAGGACGTTGGCTCACTGCGACCTCTGCCTCCCACATTCAAGCAATTCTCCTGCCTCAGCCTCCCTAGTAGCTGGGATTACAGGCGCCTGCCACCATGCAGGCTAATTTTTGCATTTTTAGTAGAAATGAGGTTTCACCATGTTGACCAGGCTGGTCTCAAACTCCTGACCTCACCACCTAGGTCTTATAAAGAGCCTTAAGCATGCTTAAACTGAGAACATGAGCAAAACTTTATAGGGCATTCCTGGTAAATGCTTACTTTAGACAGAAACAAAACTTAACCTCAGCGAATCATAAGAAGTCAACTAACATGATTATGTGACCATAGACTTTTCAAAAAGGAGAACCCAAAATAACAATTTTGTAATTGCAACCAATCAAATAATTTCTTTATTTTGCTTTCTCATTCACCCAATAAATACTTGCCTCTGATGCTTTGTCAAGGGAATACTAATCTTCTTTCAGCTTGGTGTTTCCCAATTAATGAATTGCATCTTATTCAAATAAACTATTTATAACTGTATTATTTCTCAGAGTTTTTCATTTATACAATCTTCATAAATATATATGTATATATATATGTGTATATAGGTGTATATATACACCTATATACATATATGTAAGTTTGCAGAAGCTTTTTTTTGGTTTTATAAACATATAAAATATGATTCAATAATAAGGAGATTGAGTAGAATGATCAATCAATGAGTAAATGTAAAATAGTTATCCTAATCATAGCAGTAATAGTATTAACTAATAAGTCCCTTGATTGCTCCCTAACTGACTTTAAGAGTTAGAACAGAGTAACTGAGTTATATTATGTGAGGTTCCATAAGCCTGGCAACATAAACCTAGTGATAACAAGAAAGATCTAAAATTTTAGTGACTTAGAAGAACAAAGCTATATTGTACTCTCATTTCAAATTTATTACAAGTCTGAAGAACCAATTTAGGCATGCTTCTTCAGGTGTTGCTTCTGTATATCAGATATCCTTAATCTTGTAGGACCACTGGAACAAAGGAACTTCCACAATTTTATGGCACTGGCAATTAGATGTTGTGACAATTTTAAATTTTACCTGATCACTGCCATTCTGGGAAACAGGGGCAGCTGAAGAAATCCTCTGTTCTTTGTGTTCTAGGAAACAGCATAATGCAAAGAAACATCCTTCCCCTGCACAATTTAGATGAAACTTAGATATAGCCCCATCATTAACTCTGACAAAGTCAGACACTGATCCTCGACATTCCCATTCTTTATACTTTATAAATGGTAAGCTGAACTACTTGTCCCCACTGATCAATTGAGACATAATGCTTGTTAGCCAAACTTTGATTAAAGAGTCTCTCCTTCCCCCAGCTTTGGCACATCCTCAGCCTGAGCCAGGATGCAACCTCTCCTTAAAAGTCCCTAAGAAGAATAAACTGGCCCCAGGGTAAAACATTCTTGAATCTACTATCCAATCATGCAACTCTAATACATTCTATTTTTCAACACTTCTTTTTTTCTAGCCTCATTACTCCTCCGTCTAAAAGAAAAGGTAATGTCTAACCTTTGAGACACTTTCATATCTTATGGTCTGAATGTTCTCCCTATTGCAATAATTTCCATCCTCCTATTGCAATGGTCCCTTCTACTGTTCACCCCTCCCTCTGCAATAATCCATTCAAATTGAGTTCTCCATATTAGAGTTACAAATGGATTTGTCATACATCACCTGGTTATTTTTTGGCTTTTGTTTGTTTTTAGCTTGACAGCTTCTATTCAAAAATGGCATAATTCAATTCTACTCATATTTTTTTTGGAACAAAACAATTCACATAACCATGCTTGACCTTAAGGTCAAGAAAATGCTATCATTAGTACTCAGAAAAACTAAAAATCATTATGACCTCTGTGCAGTGCACAACTATGTGAAGAACTTTTTTTACATACAAAGAGGTAAAATTTATTGTAACTCTCACAAACTAATAATTTCCTAAACAAAAGCTTAGACTTTTTTTTTTTTTTTTATGGACTGTAGTAGAGTTGATCATAGTTCACTGAAGCCACAAACTCATGGGCTCAAGTAATCCTCCCACCACAGACTTTTGAGTAGCTGGGACTACAGGTGCCTGCCACTATGCCTGGCTAATTTTTAAATTTTTCTATTGTAGAGACAGCATCTCATTATGTTGACCAGGCTGGTTTTGAACTCCTGGCCTAAAGAAATCCTCCTGCCTTGACCTCCCAAAGTGCTGAGTTTATAGGCATGAGGTAACACACCTGTCTGTACCTGTTTATTGGTCAAAAGACCTATTCTTCCTAATGCCATAGTATTATTTTAAACTTTATTTATAAGTGTTTCAGTTTTCTTTTAAGTTTGACAACTTTCTGTCATGTTACCCAACATGGTATCTTGGCGCTCTAAATTTAAAAAGTTATGTACTCTGTAGAATGCAACGTTAAAATTTTCTTTTATAAGATTGTCACAACTACATAGTCATCCCAATAATGATTTTTGAAATAGAAACCAAATGAAATAATACAATAATGTTAATTTATCATTATTTTTTGAACGGTCACAAAAGTAATTATATTAGAAACATAATAAATTAGACTAGGAGTTGGCAAACTATGGCTTGTGTAGTTTTCGATAGCCCCAGCTGTTTTTTTACAGCCCAAGAACTATGAATTTTTTTTTTAAATATTTATTTTTAATGTTACAAAATAATCACCACAGGAATAAAGTAAAGAAGAATACATTTTATGAACTCACAAAGTCAACTCTTTGTTGACTGTTGACAATCTGACCCTTTGGAGTAAAATTATGCTTATCCCTGACTTAGATAATTATATGTTGGAGTCATGAACAAAATTAAACTAGTGACTAATTTTAAATTATGGTTACATTTAAGGGAAAAGTTTAGTTTGATAAAGACCAATGATATATGGTAAATGTTATATTTAAAATATTTGTCATTTAAAAATGTTTGAATTAATTCACTTTTAGAACTTAAATCCATATAAACCTTATTTAAATGTTATTTACATAAATATCCACTATTTTGTTATTTCAGGTTGCTAGTAAAAATATCTCATCACTCTGTTTAAATGCATTAAATAAATTAATAGTATAATTATTTATAATGTAAAATGTTAGGATATTACAAATAAAATATTCATAAGTAAGGAATATATGAATTTCATATATTTTGAAACTGTATTTCTCAGCACCTTTGTCTTAACAACAAACCTCATTGAGTCCATAAGGTAAACAAACTTTATTTCAAGTATAGTTAAGTTTTACCAGGGTTCAATTATGCCACTAGATGGAGCATTTAGCACTGCAGAGAGCTCTGTAAGAAAGCTCTTTTTTTTTATTTTAAATAGATTTTAAAGGGGAAATATTTGAAAGATGTTACCAAAAAAAATTCTGGTGAACTTTTGAGAAAATCATCTCAACACTGTTATTATTTTACAGTCAAAATTTATTTTTCAGGCTGTGAAAATTGATAAGCATGTTGAAAAGTCAGAATTTATTAAAAGAAAAATCTCAATAATGTTGCAAATTGACTTCTCAGTAGTATTCTCAGTTTCCTCTGATTTGACATATGTTGCAATATAAATGTGTTTTTGTGATGTTTTGAGAACAAAGAAATGCTGCTACTACTAACATTCAAAAATGGCAATTTTTAACAATGATAATGGAATCTGTGTGGGTTGGCACTAGTGCGAGGAAAATAAAGAAAAAAGAAAAAGAGACAGTTGAACATCAATGAAAAAGAAACAGCAGTGGATGTTGCATTGTCTGTGTATGTGGCATGGCTGTGAAATAAGTGCATGGCAAAGAGTTCTTTCAAATGCCTTCGCCTAAGAAGATCAATCACAGTGGCTGCAAGCCCTGAGGTGGAAGGTCAGAGCCTATTGGCTGAAGCCATAGGGTTGAACAAAATCATGCTGTGCGTCATTCATCAGACTCTATTTTAACCCATTTTCTTCAGCTCAAGCAACAGTAAACAGGATAAACAGGAATCGTATTTCTAACACTGGTTTTTCTCCAGGTTAATTTATGTATCTTCAAAATTAAGCCTCACCAACTTTCTAAAGCCCATCATTTAGCCCTCTTCCAATGTGCAGCTGTTTAAATGAGGCTGGAAGCAATTTTGCCACACGATGCTGATGTCAGTTAAATGCTGAGTATTAGCAGAATGGGAAAACATCAAATGAGTGAGTCTGTTTGCTGTGTTGATCAGCATTCCTCACATTCTAATGGATCATACTGACAGGCGCAGCTCATTGGCTTCTAAAGGGAAAATTAGACCTATTGACTAGCACAGACATGCATGTATATGAGGGAAAGCATTTAAAGTAGAACAAAAATTAGATTTTTTTTCTCCCTGGAAAAAAGCCATGAATATTCTGAATGAAGACTTTCAGGGAAGACAGGATGCAAAACTGCCAAGTGTGAAAATGATTACAAATGACAGCTGATGTGGAAAAGTGTTAACCAGAAAAAATTTCTAGTTTTAGGACTACATTCTATGACAATATGACTCTACCCAAATCCCATAGTATTCCAGACCAAGGATAATAATTACTTAAATACTTATTTGTAAATTTAAAAAAGAATATTCATAAAGAATATTCCTCGGCCGGGCGCGGTGGCTCACGCCTGTAATCCCAGCACTTTGGGAGGCCGAGGCGGGCGGATCACGAGGTCAGGAGATCGAGACCATCCTGGCTAACACGGTGAAACCCCGTCTCTACTAAAAATACAAAAAAAAAAAAAAAAAATTAGCGGGGCGCAGTAGCGGACGCCTGTAGTCCCAGCTACTCGGGAAGCTGAGGCAGGAGAATGGCTTGAACCAGGGAGGCCGAGCTTGCAGTGAGCCAAGATAGCGCCACTGCAGTCCAGCCTGGGCGAAAGAGCGAGACTCCGTCTCAAAAAAAAAAAAAAAAAAAAAAAAAAAAAAAAAAAAACTCCTTCCACATAGATTTATTTTCAAGAGTTTATTGAAAAATATTATTTAACATAAATTGTATACATAGTGTAAGGTAAGCATTTATAATAAGACTTAGTTATTTTAGAAATAATTATATTTAGAAAAATATAATCATGCTTTTTAATTGAACTCTGAGATCTATTTTATTTGGTCTTCTCTCAAGTATTAAATCTGTATTCAAGTTTTACAAATCCTCTCAGCTGCTTTGCAGGTCAGGACTCATCTAGCTTGAGATGGCCGTAACGTTCTTCTTTTATAATTGTCGACTCAGCAAAATTTTCATGAGTAAATGACGAATAAAACAATAGTGTTTCAAATTAAAAATGTATAAATTTTTAAAGTAATTTAAGAAGATAGTGATGTTATAAATCATAGAAGAATAGATATATGTTCTACAGATGAATATTCTATTCTAAAAATTCTTGGCACTGGGTATTTGGCTTTTTACATTTTTGATCTGGTGGAGGTAAGGAAATTCATTTACTGATCAAACTGTGGACAAATAAATTTAGTTCAGAGATAAAACTCATGTCTTTACTTGGATGAGAAAATTTAATTTAGATAGTGGAATAAATTATTTAATAGAAAATTTCTTTCCTTATAAACATCAGTTAGACATATTTTAAAAAGCAAGCATTTAGAAGTTGAAGAACCTTACTTGAAATTATGACTTACTTCCTGGCTGCTTAATGTACATAATCCAACTAAATTTCCTGAGTTCTAAACTTTTCATATATAAAATGGAGATAATAATGTTATCTCACAAGTTTATAAGGATTGCATAATATGATGAATTACTTTTGGTCTTTAATTATTATTATTAGTATTAATACTGTGATGCGAATAATCTTATTTTTAAGACATTTTGATTTCTGCATACGTTTTTCTATATTACACTCCGTTAATAAAATGTAAATATTCTGGAATTCATAATAGACAGAAATAGGGATTGAAATGAAACTACAGTTATAGTCTACTATTTACTAGGTGGTATAATAGGCTCTGATAATACAAAAGTGAAAAAATCAACATTTCACTTAAAAATAATTGAAAAAATTTGTCAATATTTAACAACTATTCATAGAAGTTATAAAAGTGCAAACATATAAAAGCTATCAAAAATTGTGATGATATGCATGTTCAGCTAAGATTCTGTGGTTTAGCTTTTGCTAAACCACATATATATGTGAACATATATATATATATATATATATATATATATATATATATATGAATATGTTCATAATAGGCAAAGCTAACTGCAATTCAGCCTGACTTCTTTTCCATCCAAGCACAGAGCTCGTATTTAATATGGGCTTGCCACAATAGATAAAAGCAGGATTAGTCCTATGATGTAGAAATAGATGCAAAATAAACATGATTCCAATCATAGGTCTATAAATGTATGCATCATTTATCTATGTTGTTGACACATTAATTCTGGAGCTCTTTTTGTGGTATTAAAATGTAAGTTGATCAACATGATTGCTTTTATTCCTTTATATTATTAGTTACAATCAATATAAACTACATATAAAAAGGCAAAGTGAAATAACTAGTGTACTAATCTAAACTACATAGAGATTCAATAAAACAACAAATATTTTTCCCACATAATAGATATTGCTGTTATCTAGTGTTATTAAACAGTTAATAGACCCTTCAGTTCACTTTTTTCAAATTAAAACAATTTTATATTTGAAAGCATCCTTGAAAGACATGCTTTAAAACTGATACAATACATTCTACCCGATGAAGACTCTTCAAATATATATTGTAAATTTATTTGATATGATTTTCTCTTTATAGTTATTGCAATATTTTATGTTAATACATATTTAGGGAGGCATCAAAAGCAGATTATTAACCTAGTGAATTATGACAGATCCAAAGAATTTACTGTTTGTTCATTACAGCAATTGTCACTGAAAACTCTTAATTCACAAGTACAGCTACCAATTCTACATGTAAATATCTATCATTCATTTATTTTTTCCTCATTATTTTAAAGGAAAGTCAACTCTATGTGCAATAAATTATTAGACTTATTTAGAAAAAGTGCATCATAGGAAGAACAAAATATTTTCAGCAATGACGTTTTTAAAAGAATGTATTAATTTAAACAGTTTTCTTTTAAGAAATTTGAGCAAATATTCAATAGTACTAGGTAATATGCACTTAGTGTCTCATTTTTGGCAAAAAGACATAATTTGGAGTAAGTGCTCTTGCATATCTTCTATTAATGCTTCTATAATTTATGCTCAAAATATATAGATGCAGCACTTAGTGAGGCAATTTTTCAATGCATAATGATAATGAATATCAGTCATACACATTGCACAATTTTAGAATCAGAATGTTGTTGGGCAGACACTTCTTTTCTTTTTTCTCCATAGAAATGCTTCTGCCCACTGGTTAAAAGACATGGTGGATAATTGGGAAAGTGTGCATTGAGTAATTAATATATTGTAAAAGGTGCCAAGATAGTTTTTGTTTGTTTGTTTACTTGCTTGCCTGTTTTTTTTTTTTTTTGTCTATTCAGGATAATTAAGGGAAAAGTTATTCCAGGGTTGTTTTCATTGAATTATTTATATATATATATATATATATATATATATATATATATATATACAGTTACGTTATCAATCTAATAAACTATATATAAAAAGGCAAAGCGAAATAACTAGTGTACTAATCTAAACTAGAGATTCGATAAAACAACAAATATTTTACCCAGATAATAGATATTACTATTATCTAGTGTTACTAAACAATTAATAGACCCTTCAGTTCACTTTTTTCACACACACACACACACAAATGTATATATATGTGTATATATACATATATGTGTATATATATTTGTGTGTGTATGTACATATATATGTGTATATATATGTGTACATATTTGTGTGTGTGTGTACATACAGAGAGAGAGAAAAATAGTTAACTAAATAGCTTAATGCTTTTAGTTCCTTGCTTCTTGCTTTAGTCAGTAGATAAATGTACATTTAACTTTAAAGTGAATATGAAGGAAGATAACTTATTCTATTCTTTTTACAATAAATATTTTTTATCTTTGAAAGTCAAAATATGAATTGAATTTTCAAATTTATGTGATCATTTCTAGCTTTTTAATGAGCAGATCATCTATGAATTCAATAAAGCTACCTATTATACTTTTGTTTTTAAATTATACTTTAAGTTCTGGGTTACATGTGCAGAACATGCTGCATGCATCAACCCGTCACCTACCTTAGATATTTCTCCAAATGTTATCCATTTTATTCTGTCCTGTAACAATGAGTACTCACTCCCTACTGCTATAGCAGACCAGAGCAATAGTCTCCTTTAGAGGACATATACTTATTTTGCTTTTCACCTCTATTAGTTCCATCTGTTCCTGGTACTAATGGGAAGGCCCCTAAATTCTGGCAACAGTACCGAGTATTCCACTTTGAGTATATAACTTATACTCAGTATTAGTCACAACTCTCCTTTGATCTAATTATTCTAGTATACAGTGATGATACAACTGTCTTCCAGCTTCCATGAATTTTGAAAGAATTAATGACACAAAATGCATAAGACATTCTAAGCTCCTAGGAAAAGCCCCTCTGATTACAAAGTATTAATTTTAGTTTTGAAGACATCGAAAATGCTTCTTGGCATAGGTGTAAGACACAGTTTAATATTAATTACACAGTATGACTGCTTTGGGATGTTTTGGTTACATCATAATGCAATATCATAAGTGAAGACAATAAAGTTTTATTCAAGTATAGCTGGTATTTGAATTAAAACAATATATATTTTCTATAAAATATTTCTATGTTTTTAAAAAGCTAGAAATAGTTGAGGAAAGGTCACAGACTTTATATCCATCTATGCAATTTATCTAATGTCAATTACATTTCATCAAAACTCTAAAGTGAGTTGTCTTTAATGTTTGTTTGTTACATTACCACAAGAAAAGTATAAGCTTGATTTGTAATCATCGATAAGTATATTAAATCAGTGTATAGAATATCTTGAAAATATAGATTTATAAGTATTCACAAATTAAATATAAAGTTGAATGTATTCGTGGATATATGCATTTTTTCAAATTGTAGTTGCTCTTATTCTATGACCATTTTGTTCATATTTTACTCCTGCCCTAGCGAATTCATATTGCTTATCTGGAAAATAAAAGTCTCCCTCATGATTTTTTTTTCATCATAACTTGATTTTGTGTTCATGGGCGTACTGGAGGCCTAAAAGCTTTGGAATGCTGAAGCAGGCTTGCACTGCTTGCAAGAGCCAACTGTGCACATTTTTTCCCCAGCCTATGTGCAGTGACATTCCACTGGAAGCTTGAAATCAACAACAATGGTAGGGCATTGACACCATAGAGACTGGCAAATGCTACACATTAGGTGTTTTGTTTTTTTTTTTCTTTCTCTAATAGAAAGCCAGTGGTTAAACATTTACCTGTACACTACTGCCTACAATTGAGATTCAAAGGGACCTGCTTCTATCTTTGAGAGTACATATAGACAACTATGTGAAATTTGGTGATGTGCCTTCATTGATAAATGGATGCTAGAAAATACATTTTTTTCCTTATGTAAACTACATGGCAAGAACAGTGGGGCAACATACAAAAGTATTTAGATATATGTAAGAAATAGAGAATTTTAACTTCAACAACTTTTCTAAACAGAAAGATAAAGTATTTTCTTATGAATAATTTTTAAAAAACAAATGATACTGCTGTGTACACAAACTTGTCAACAATTTCATTTCCCATTAATTGTGATACAAACAGTGTTATTCAGTCTAATATGAGGGAGACAGATAGAGACCTTCCTTCTACGAGAAGATTTTGCTCCTGAATTCCAGCGTGTCAATCTACTTGCTAACCTCAATATGTCTAAACCAAAAAAAAAAGAATCCCTTCCCTGAAGAAAAATTCCCATTCTCTGCACCTCACCTTGCTAAATGACTCCATAATACCCACCTCTAATTTCATCATCTGATGCAGAAACTTGTTTTCTAACACTGCATTCCTCTGTCACTTACCCTCATGTTCTAATCAGTGGCTACATGAAACCTACTCTATTTATATTGCTGAGCCACGGATTCTCAGATAGTCATTCATATGATGGGATTTTCTTTCTCTCTCTCTCTCTCTCTCTTTTTTTTTTTTTTTTTTTTTTTTTTTTTTTTAACAAAGACTTGCTCTGTTGCCCAGGCTGGAGTGTAGTGGCACAATCTCTGCTCACTGTAAACTCTGCCTCCTGGGATTAAGCGATTCTCCTGCCTCAGCCTCCTCAGCAGCTGGGATTATGGGAGTGCACCACCACACCAGGCTAATCTTTTTATTTTCGTAGAGATGGGGTTTCATTATGTTGGCCAGACTGATCTCAAACTCCTGAACCCAAGCAATCCACCTGTCTTGGCCTGTCAAAGTGCTGGGATTATAGGTGTGAGCCACCACACCTAGCCTATACAATGGGATTTGATTTTGCTGACTTTTTGCTTTCCAAAACTTTATTGTCTGTGACTTAATACCTAAAACCTTTAATAGATTGAGTAGAACTTCCTTGATCTTCTCCTTCTTGTTTCCTGGGCATATTTTTTTTACTTTCTACCCCTTGCATTCAATATTTCAGCCATACCAAACCACCAATTGCATGTTCCCTAGCTTGTAATTCTTTCTCTGTAACAGCACCTTATCCCATTCTTCCTTTCACTATTTGGGATAACTTCTGCCAGCAAATTATAAGATGCTTCATCCTAGAAGCTTCATCACTTGCAACCACTACTTACCTTCTACAAATGTTCTGAATTTGTTAGGAACCTGTTTATTTACCTGTTTTGCCCTTTCACCTATGATATCTTTGAAGACAAAAATTATAGACTTACCCAATTTTACGAACAAGTATTTGGCAAAATAAATATTTGCTAATGAATGAATATATTTGTCATGCCATTTATAAAAATACATATTGAAACTGGGTGCTCCTGTGTTGGGTGCACATATATTTAGGATAGTTAGCTCTTCTTGTTGAATTGATCCCTTTACCATTATGTAATGGCCTTCTTTGTCTCTTTTGATCTTTGTTGGCTTAAAGTCTGTTTTATCAGAGACTAGGATTGCAACCCCTGCCTTTTTTTGTTCTCCATTTGCTTGGTAGATCTTCCTCCATCCTTTTATTTTGAGCCTATGTGTGTCTCTGCATGTGAGATGGGTTTCCTGAATACAGCACACTGATGGGTCTTGACTCTTTATCCAATTGCCAGTCTGTGTCTTTTAATTGGAGCATTTCATCCATTTATATTTGAAGTTAATATTGTTATGTGTGAATTTGATCCTGTCATTTTGATGTTAGCTGGTTATTTTGCTCATTAGTTGATGCAGTTTCTTCCTAGCCTTGATGGTCTTTACAATTTGGCATGATTTTGCAGTGGCTGGTACCTGTTGTTCCTTTCCATGTTTAGTGCTTCCTTCAGGAGCTCTTTTAGGGCAGGCCTGGTGGTGACAAAATCTCTCAGCATTTGCTTGTCTGTAAAGGATTTTATTTCTCCTTCACTTATGAAGCTTAGTTTGGCTGGATATGAAATTCTGGGTTGAAAATTCTCTTCTTTAAGAATGTTGAATATTGGCCCCCACTCTCTTCTGGCTTGTAGAGTTTCTGCTGAGAGATCCACTGTTAGTCTGATGGGCTTCCCTTTGTGGGTAACCCGACCTTTCTCTCTGGCTGCCCTTAATATTTTTTCCTTCATTTCAACTTTGGTGAATCTGACAATTATGTGTCTTGGAGTTGCTCTTCTCGAGGAGTGTCTTTGTGGCGTTCTCTGTATTTCCTGAATCTGAATGTTGGCCTGCCTTGCTATACTGGGGAAGTTCTCCTGGATAATATACTGCAGAGTGTTTTCCAACTTGGTTCCATTCTCCCCGTCATTTTCAGGTACACCAATCAGACGTAGATTTGGTCTTTTCACATAGTCCCATATTTCTTGGAGGCTTTGTTCATTTCTTTTTATTCTTTTTTCTCTAAACTTCCCTTCTCACTTCATTTCATTCATTTCATCTTCCATTACTGATACCCTTTCTTCCAGTTGATCGCATCGGCTCCTGAGGCTTCTGCATTCTTCACGTAGTTCTCGAGCCTTGGCTTTCGGCTCCATCAGCTCCTTTAAGCACTTCTCTGTATTGGTTATTCTAGTTATACATTCGTCTAAATTTTTTTCAAAGTTTTCAACTTCTTTGCCTTTGGTTTGAATTTCCTCCTGTAGCTCGGAGTAGTTTGATCGTCTGAAGGCTTCTTCTCTCAACTCGTCAAAGTCATTCTCCGTCCAACTTTGTTTCGTTGCTGGTGAGGAACTGCGTTCCTTTGGAGGAGGAGAGGCGCTCTGCTTTTTAGAGTTTCCAGTTTTTCTGTTCTGTTTTTTCCCCATCTTTGTGGTTTTATCTACTTTTGGTCTTTGATGATGGTGATGTACAGATGGGTTTTTCATGTGGATGTCCTTTCTGTTTGTTAGTTTTCCTTCTAACAGACAGGACCCTCAGCTGCAGGTCTGTTGGAGTTTCCTAGAGGTCCACTCCAGACCCTGTTTGCCTGGGTAACAGCAGCGGTGGCTGCAGAACCGCGGATTTTCATGAACCACGAATGCTGCTATCTGATTGTTCCTCTGGAAGTTTTGTCTCAGAGGAGTACCCGGCCATGTGAGGTGTCAGTCTGCCCCTACTGGGGGGTGCCTCCCAGTTAGGCTGCTCGGGGGTCAGGGGTCAGGGACCCACCTGAGGAGGCAGTCTGCCCGTTCTCAGGTCTCCAGCTGCGTGCTGGGAGAACCACTGCTCTCTTCAAAGCTGTCAGACAGGGACATTTAAGTCTGCAGAGGTCATTGAATAGAATAATATTTTATTCCCACTTCTGGACTCAGGTAAAACCTGAGTCATATAGAGGGATCTGAATTGAGACCACAGGCAAATGACTTTTAGTGAAAAAGAAAGGAGAAATTAACAAGATAATAGGAGGTTTAAGAAAGGCAAGATCATAAGGTCTTCTATGTTAGCAAACAGTAAATGTTCCAAGAATATCAAGCATTCATATACACAGTGTAGACCTCAAACCCATATTTGCTACTTTGTATTTCCATTTCTTCTAATTTCCCCAATTTTTTATTGGTCATATTATTGAAATTTTGATTTTGAAAATGTATTCTTGGGAGAAAATGCAAATGTCTTATTCTCATTTAAATATACCATAGGCTAAACCTCATTCCCCTTATGTCATCATTTAAAACACCTAAATTATTTTACAGAAGTTGAGGGTTGTTAAATATATTAAATCTATAGACAGCTTCATGTTTTTAAATTTGTCTTCAGTTTAGAGAACAAGGTTGGAAGTGTTTCTTAAAATAATCAGAAGTTCCATCCAAAAGCCAACATCTTATGAAAGAGAATAATGGATTATCGTGGACATACATCTCAGGAATGTCTTTCCACTGCACACCAACTCTAACAAAATAAAGGTGCACACCACCTCTAACAGAATGAAAATCTGACCAAACCTGCAGTAATACAAGTTTTTACCTACAAAATAGTCACTTGAGCTACTCTGTTTTGGGCGCTGTAGAGCCGTGCCAAGGGAGAAATTGAGTGATAATTTTCTGTAAGGGAAATATCAAAGCAAAGTTAAGTTTGTTAAGGCAGAAATACAAATCACGTGAAAGAAGTAAATGATAAAAGTCTGTGGAAGTTTAGAAAGAAAAATCTTGACTCTCAATCTTCCAGTTCCTGTTGCATCTTCTGATGACTGTTTCTTGCCATTTGATTTTGCGTATGTTTTAATATATTCCTCTTTTTGCCTTAACTAATCAAATAATCATTCCTGTTGATTGCAACCAAATGGCCCCTGATTAAAGCCAACCTTGGCATTTTGTTTCGATTAACAACTTCTGAAATTCTGATATCATTTCTTAATTTCTACCTTACTGTCCTTTACTTTTCTTGAATCTTTATAATTAATATACATTTTAGCACCTCTTAGCATCAAGACACTGTTCTGAGCACTTTAAAAATATGAATTAATCTAATTCTTTTGGCAGCATTATGAAACAGATACAATTTTCAACCAAGGTTAACACAGGAAGAAATGTGGCACTGGCTAAGTAGATTGCGGAAGATCACACAGTGATACATGGCAGAGTAAAGATTGAACCCCAGGCATCTGGCTACAGAGATATAACCGATATCCTAGACATTTTCTATTTCTACTTGGAAGGACTTTTGAGGATATAAATATTGATTATTTAGACTAGATTGTTCTTTAAAACTCTGCAAAGCATTACATAGCATGTGTTCAAACTTAGTTCAGCATCTAAGAGCAGAGCAAGTTTGGTAAACTGTAATAATGTTGACTGTAGCTGGATATAAGTATATTTAGAAATACCATTTTAAAATAAATATTAATTAATATATGAAGAAGAACAAACTATATTCTCTCTTTTGCATGAGATAAGCAGGTTTCCCTGGCAAGAAGCATCTCTCTTTCTATCAAACTGTAGTGTTCTTTTCCAATTTGGTTTATTTACCCAAACACAAGAGCTTTCTTGGACTTCTTTAAAGAGTTGAACCATAGTTCCTGCCAGAATCTAGACCAGCCTATTTCTGAGCAACTAGCTACTTGCCTATATTTTGGAGCAGCCAGAATTAAATATAAAGAACTAAGCACTGTCTTCTTCAAGGGCTGTTAAGCAAAGGTGGCCAAAGGCTGAGGAAATTATACATCTGAGCTCCCAATTACATGAGATGGAATTTATATAGGCTGACATTTTACTGAGTAACAAACTAATTTCTTACACCACGGAAGTGTGGTAATAAATTAATATGTCACTATTTGACTTGCCTTTCAAAATGAGAAACAAATACCTGGCCATAGGTTGAGTGTGGAAGCAAAGATCTTCATCACACACCAGCAAGTTTCCATCTGTAGCTTTCAAAGGAATTAAATAAATTAAATAAAATATTTGATAACACGTTAGAAAAATTCAGAATATATGAAATAATTTCAATTTCTAAGTGTCTATTCTATCTTAATGAAAGATACCTGAGCATTAACTCCTCACCATGTGTCCTGGGCCAAATCCTTTCATGCAGGTATAGCACCACACCTATTGCCTTGCTGCCTGTGGTGTAATCATCAACCTATCATCATTCTACCATTACTATAGTAGCCTATTACAGTTGCAAATGACCACAAACCTAGTGGCTTAATGCCACATATTTTTTTTTTTCTTTTTGCATTACTGGATTTCCAGAGAACACAAACGCAAAGGCTGCCAGTTTCCAAACTCAGACTGAGTAGTCTCAGACTATTAATCTGGCTGCCTTATATTGGTAAATGAAGAAAACAGACAGACTAAATTCAATAAGGACCACAAAAGAACATGAATACCAGAAGCATCATTGATTGTGGGCCAGGTGTTTAGTGACCATTAAGAAATAGGGTGACCAACTTTTGCAGTTTGACTAGGATTAAGGAGACTTCCAAGACATGAGACTTTCAATGGTACAACTGGAAAACTCCAAAAAAAAAAAAAGTGAAATGAGTTGCCCACCCCAAAATAAAGCAACCATTGGAAAGTTTGGCAGATGGAAGTTATCTACTAATTGCTTTGAAGCATTATTAAGACAAAAGGTATTTGCATTTTATAGGAATTAACTCATTTATTCCTTCTCCAGATCTATTATCTAAGAAAATTTCAGTAATCTTTAGACATAAGGATACAGAGCCTCAACAATTTTATTTTTCTTGCCTACAGTCTGCTGGTCATGGGTGGAAGAATTCAGATTTAAACTTAATATATTTTCCATCATAACACACTGTCTAGAAGTTGATTACAGTGAATTTGGTCACATTTCTGCTTGCCTCTTATTCCATTAAAGCTTGATATTTAGCTTTTTGAGCTACGTTGTACATATGATATAGATGGGACATGTTGCTATATTGTGAAATCCTGAAGAGGCGAGACCAAACCTTTTTTTAATCCTTGTGGTGGCCATCATAGAGCTTGGGACATTATATTGATTCAATACATGATTAAGAGATATAACTACTAATTTTTGAAATTAAAATAATAGTATCTTTGTGTTCTTTAAGTCTCAACAATTATTTCTGAATGTGTAAAAATTTCATAGTCTTTTCTTTTATTTTCCAAGGATACTGTATTGCTTTTCTGAGGCTACTGTGATACTTTTCCATGAACCTGATGGCTCAAAACAATAGAAATTTATTATCTCACAATTTTGGAGCCTAGACTTCGGAAATCTGTCATGGTTAGACTCTCTCTGGGGTAATATAAAGAATAATTTGTGTGTTTTTTGCCTCTTCTAGCTTTTGGTGGTTGTTGGCATTTTGTGACTCTCCACATCACTCCACTTTCTACCCTTGTGATCACATTGCTTCCCATTCTGTTTCTCTACCAAATCACTCTCTGCTTTACTCTTACAAGGGCACTTGGATTTAGGGCCTACCTATATCATCCAAGATAACCCAATCTCTCAAAATCCTTAATTTAATCGCATCTTTTGCCATATAAGGCAATACTCACAGATCCTTGAAATTAAGATATGAAAATATCTTTTAGGGGACTATCATCAAGCTCATGAGAGTAGCGTATATGTTCATGTGCCCAAATATTCAGAACTAAAAATCAAAGTCTAAAGTACTTTAAGGATAAGTAAGAAAGCTGTATGGTGAAAACAAGACAATTTTAACTCAGATTATTATAATAGCTTTGTGTTTTTATGTTTATATAGTCAAATAAATTTATATGTACTTTGTTTCCTTAAACTAATAAAAATATAAATAAAGAATTGAATAAATTAATTTCTGGTTTCCACGCAAGAACACTGGAATTCACAAGTCCAGGATAAAAGCTAATGAGCTCAGCTAGAGATCTTGTAATTCTTCCAGAAAATGAGTTTCACAGTCATGTACTGAGGTCAGCTGAGGAGTAGTCAAAGAAAAAGCACTTTCCCGCAAATGAGAACAATGCAATGGTTCTTCTTCCTTCTGAAGGGCATATCTGTGCGTGCGTACATGCGTGTGTGTGTGTGTGTGATTTACTGTCCTATAAATTGACATAATCCTAAGAAAGAGCATTTACATTGAGAGATAGTCATCTAAAACCAGAATATTATTACTGCACAGTTATGTAAAACCATCCTTGGACTCATGCCATAAATAACTCAATAAAAAGTCTGTGTTTAGAGAATATAGCACATATTTTATAAAACAACAGTTTGATACTTATAAACTGTTTTCTACAAATATTTAAATTAATTAACACAAAATGCTTTCTTATCTGTTATCATTTCCTACTATGTGGGAATACCTACATACGTTTAATTAAAGAATGTGGCCCAACAATATATTTCTTACTTATTAGTATTCCAAAGAATAGTTTGATTAAAATTTATTTTACTTTGTATCGCTAAGAAATATCATATTTCTATGTAAATATTTCCAAACATATCAAAGGCAAGGTATGATGAGAAGATTCAACTTTCATTATTTTTCCATCCTGTTCTGAACCTTCTTGTCATTTTATTTATTTTGGTTTCTTTCTCTTTGATACAGTATATTCTCTTAAATTACATTTTAACATTGATATCCAAAAGTGTCTATTGTCCTTCTTTCTGCAAAAGCTTACACAGCAGATGGTGCAAATGGTTCAGCATATATTTGTGGAACTGATAGAAAAAGTCATCCGCCAGAATGCTAACTTTTTTGGCATTTTGTCAAATTATAACAAAGACATGTTACAAAAATTCAGAGTATATGAAATAATTGCAATGTTTATCTTTATTTTCTGTATATTCTATAGTAAAATATGATGCAATTATCCTGTCTTCAGAAATTTCTCAATTTCTTTCTTCTGTCTATTTCTAATGCATCATGCTTGACCATGTGTTTTTTCCCTTTGTTTTCATCTATAACAGTGTCAATTTTTTAGCTTCTTCCAACCTACGATAGATTAAAATTATATATATATAAATATATATATAAATATATATATGTTTTTAAATCTAGGCTTATTTTTAATGTAAGAAAAAAGAAGACATAATGACTTTAATTTTTAAAACATTTTCTCAATGCTAATTTCTTAATTGGTAAAGTTTTTATTAAAAAAATAGACCAATGGAGGAAACTACAATGCATATGGCTTATTCTTTCAGCTATTTGTAAATAAAATAAGCAGCTAAATACAATTACCAAAAGAAAAGTAAGAACTATAACTTTAAGAAAATATTTTATTTTTTCTCTATTATTTGTTACATATTCTATAAATATTTTATTGATATTTTGTTCTTGAAAATCAATATGGGAAAAACAATTGGCATGTAAACCTTAGCCACACTAGCCTTTCAACCCTGACTTTCCAGTGGGAAAGATTTTTCAAAGATAGAAATTGATGGAAGGGAAGGCAATTTCATCTTGGTTGACCAAGAAAGATTTAATTTTGTATTATAAATTTCCTATTGTTTTTAGACCACCTTAATGACATTTTTATGATTGCTTTATATATTTCAGGTACATAGTCTTTTTTATTACCATTTAAAAAATAGAAAGCTTATTTTTAATATAATGTAGCGCTAATATACACATATATTAACAAATACAACAATAGGAGATGTGTCTGAAAAGGTAATCTGACAGCTAGATTTAGGAGAAAGGAGAATAGATAGAGTTAAATAATTGTCTGGCTGGGCAATAATGAAAGCATTAACTAGTGTAGCAGCTGTGTAAATGTGTTATTAGAAGCAAAATATCTGGGTAAAATAGAAGTGGTGAAAGCTGAGAGGTGAAGGAAATGGGAAATAGGAAAGAACAAATAGAAAAAGCATAAAAACAAAACAAAACTAGAAACAACATTGATTCCAATGTATTGAACTGAGGAGAACAGAATAATAATGATGTCAAGGAATATCATTTATGAGAGTGGATTCTCAAAATAAAATACCTAGCTTACATGAACATTGAATGTAATCCTCTTTTCTACTTATCCTGTCCTTTCATTTTCCACCTATGCTAGCTCTCCGTAAACACATCGGCCTTAGGGAAAACCTTATGAAATAATCTTATAATTTTGAATGTTTTTTGTTACATACACAGTGGTAGACCTATATGCAATTATCATTCTATGTTGTATAAATAAATACATACCAAAAAGAACTACTATACATTCTTTCACTGTAAATATTTAACGTCATAATGGATTCTTAAAATATAATCCAATGTGCTTCTTAGAAACATCTCACTGTCAGATTATGTGTTTTGAGATAATATAAATTAATTATCATATCATCCTGAATAATAGTTGATTGGCAAGGTAAATATTCTTTGAACTCCAATAGTAAATTTAAGTAATGAAACTACAGCTTCTTTTTACTGACATATTGGAGGTTAAGTATATCTTTCTCAGCGCTTTGGAGATGCCATCATTTCTGAAACTACCTTTTTTTTTTCCTATTTGTTTCTTTATTTTTAATATCACCTTTGAAACTACAAAATATTTTTACTTACCCAGTTAGATGGCAAGTTCAATGTTCACATATTTATGATTGCAAGCATTAGAATATCATATTGAAGATGTGAGGTGGGAAGAATGGGACAATTGTCTAAAATTGTTTCATTTCATTGACATGCAAATCTACCCTGAAGCAAGATCCCATGCTATGAAATATTACAATGCCCAAGCAGTAAATGAGTGGACATTTTAGAAGTTGTCACAGCCCTAGAATGTATATCATATTCTATCATTCTACTTAGTTTCTCTGCTCCTAACAAACTCACCACCTTCCCAACATATCTCTCTACAGGCTTTTCACATGATACATGGCCAATGGCATTCTCTTACACTCCTCAGTGTTAGATCCTCATTAGAGACTTTCATTTTATAGTTCAGTATTCCACTTTGTTCAATGATAAAAGTATTTTATCCTCCGAATTAAACTAATTTTATGCCAGTTGATTGGAGGTCTCCAACTCCCATCTGCAAAGGCTCACAGGTCAGGTTTTATGCTTCCAGTTTTTTAGTGACTAATGCATCATTTTGCAATGTGCTTTTACTTTTTCTATTTTTTAATTTAATTTAATTTTATCATTTTACTCAACTTTATGAGGTATAAGTGACAAATAGGAAGGCTTGTAAGTATATTTAAGGTGTAAATGTGGTGTTTTGATGTAAGTATACTTTATGTAATGACTCTCACAATCAAGATAATTAACATATATATCACCTCACATAGTTACCCATTTGTGTGTGTGTGTGTGTGTGTGTGTGTGTGTGGTGAGAAACAGCACACTTCCAGTGTACATTATTAACTATAGTTACCATGCTGCACATTGGATATCTAGAACTTGTTCATCTTAGATGTGAAAGATAGTATAATCTGAACCAACATCTCCCCATTTTTCCCACAGCCCAAGCCCGAGAAGACCGTATTTTACTTAAAATTTCTCTAAGTTATGCCAAATCTCTAAGTTAGAATGTTTTAGATTCCACATATAAGTGATATCATGCAATATTTGTCTTTCTATAACTAGTTTATTTCGCTTAGCATAATGTTTTCCAGATTTATCCAACTTGTCACAAATGGCAGGATGTTCTTCTTTTTAAAGACTGAATAATATTCAGACACACATATTTCCTTATCCATCAACAGATGCTTTGACTGACTCCGTATCTTGGCTATTGTGAATAACGCTGCAGTGGATATCAAGTTCAAAACATTGATTTTATTTCCCGCAGATATATGCTCAGAAGTAGATCTTGGGTCATACGGTAGTGCTATTTTTAATTTTTTGAGGATCCTTCGTATTATTTTCCAAAATGGCAAGAATAATTTACATTTTCACTCATAGCCTACAAGGGTTCCCTTTTCTCCACATCCTTGCAAACACTTGTTATCTTTTTTCTTTTTGCTAATAGCTTTCCTAACATATATAATATAATATAATATAATAAAAATATACATATTTTGATAAATATATATATATATATATATATATATATATTTTTTTTTTTTTTTGAGATAGAGTCTCACTCTGTTGCCCAGGCTGGAGTGCAGTGGTGTGATCTCTGCTCACTGCAACCTCCACCTCCCGGATTTAAGTGATTCTCCTGCCTCAGCCTCCCGAGTAGATGGGACTACAGGTGCCCGCCACCACGCCTGGCTAATTTTTAGTAGAGATGGGGTTTCACTGTGTTAGCCAGGATGGTCTCAAACTCCTGACCTTGTGATCCACCCGCCTCGGCCTCCCTAAGTGCTGGGATTACAAGCATGAGCCACTGTGCCCGGCTTGAGTTTCTTATATATTTTGGAAATAAACCACTTATCAGATATAAATTGTGGCATTGCACCTATGTGAATGCAGGGACATTTGCTTCTTCACAAAAAGGCTTCATTTATTCACTGAGGCATGCTCCCTGCAGGTTTGTATCCATTGAGAAGGACTGCCCTTTTCATATTTGCTTAAATTCTATAGGCTGATATTGTGTGTGTGCATATTTGTATATGCACATATGTAAGTGTACATATCCATGTGCACATAAACATATTTTCATTTACTGGCAGAGGGAGGAGAAAAGAGCGATTATTCTTGTTCTGTTTTATTCTGACTAATGAGCATAGAAAATACTTGAATCTCCTTTATAATTCAAAACGGTGTGGCCAAAATTTCCACAAGTGAAGATCACTTTACTAGCTAATTTCTATGGCTGTCTTGTGAGCATTCTCCTGATTCCCATTAAGATCATGCTCCAAGTTTCTGAGGTACTATGTATTACCTTATACACATATAAATATAAATATATTGTATGTATATGCACTACATTTGTATATATGTAAACATATGCACTATACATATTAAATAAAAAATATAGAAATATATTTAGTTAATTGTATTAATCTAATATATACCTATAACATTATTACCAATTAAAGCTTAAGATGTAAGAACGGTAGAAATGTAGGATTTTATCTTTATCATACATATTTTTAAATTTGCCATATCACTTTAGACTAAAACTGACCTGTTTTCTGTGCCCAGTTGCAAAGCAAGTAATACTTGCAGAACTCTAGAAGTGACTATGAAAATAAAATAGCATGTGAATATATTTTTAAAAATACAGATTGTATATTACATATCACTACTCTGAACTGGACTTCTAGTCTTACTACTAAACCATACTCATGTACTTTGACCAAATTGAGCATTAACTCCCCAATGTTTAATCATAGTACATATCAGTTTACTCACCCTAAGTACTTCTTTTTTAAATTTCTTTTTCTGATTTGTTCTATCCTACTGAATTCCATGTTGAGAAAAAGTCACAAAGGTGATGTCTTAACCAATCTTTTAAATTACATGAAAATGAAAGAGCATATTTTATGCTATTCTCCTTGCATATATACATGCCTCTAGTCTTGAAATAATTTGCTTGGAGTCTGTGCTAAGCATAGAATAAAGAAAAAAACCCTCTAGAGAATGACTAAAATTAGGATAGTTACTAGCTATATAAGGATTTGCAAGTTTTCACTGAAAATCTCTTTATATTACTTCATCAAATAAAATCATGGATCTGTGTGTTTGCTTGGTTATATTTTGTGCTTTAGAAACAGTCATATGTAAAAATTGTAAAGTGCAGACATTTATAAGTACATTTTTAAGTTGCTGCTAGTGTGACTCCACCTTGACTTGAAGTTTAAATCTACAACCTACAAAAGAAAAGAAAAGTAGATCCAGATAATACAGTCATTATAAATAAATCTGACTTGGGTGTCAGATTTTGCAATGAAAAAATGACTGCTTAAGAGGAATTTTTATTCTTTCAGCATTATATCAATTATCATATTTACTTTATGGAAATACAGTAACATATATAAATGTATGGAATAAATGTTAGATTAACTATATTTGTAATTTATAGTTTCTGTGCAATTTTAGTGCTAGCTTAAAAATGAACTCCTGCCCATCAGTTTTTAATTGCTGATAAATTTCTATATTGCTATTCAGATCAAATTTATTTTATATTCAATGCAGACTCCCCATTTATTTTTTATTAAAACTATTATTTGAAACTTATACTATGAAATTATTTCTTTTCATATTGTTCTTTCACATCATTGTTTTGCTTGTCTATCCATACTAGAAGCCTGAATAAAATAGAAACAATTATGTTCTAGCTGTATGTTTCAGTGCTATATTGTAATGATTATGAGTCTTCACAAAATGTTCTAAGCCCTGATGAGCAATTTGTTGCCTGTCAGCCACAACTATCTTTCACTTTTCTTTTGATAACAAAGATTATTTATTTTAGTTAACAGAACCTTAGCTAAACAACGGGAGCAATGATAATGCATCATTGTTAATGTATTTCTTGTAAACAAAATTCTTCATTTAAATAAATGAGTTTGCTTTCTTGTTATTTCACTAGGAATCGTAGCTTTATTATTTACAAATTGTAAATGTATAGAGTGCTGAGAACAATTTCTGATATGGGAAGATGTGATGAAAAGTGTTTTTCTAGAATTACTAACGTGCTTCCTTTTTCTTTTCAGTTTCCCAAATGTCTTAAGATATTTTGTAAAATATACGTTTTAAAAATGTCATCTTTGGAAGGAATAAATTTAAAATTACTCTAATGGTACCAAGGGAGGGAGAATATAGAGAATTTAATCAAGTAATTATCAAAAACTTTTAATTGAATTATTTCACCTATAACTTTGGGACAACTACTAAGTAATTCAAAATTGACCCATTAAGTTATGTCTATATTATAGTAAGTTAAAGAGATCCACAAAGTAAAAAGACTCATATACAGGTTTATTTCTCAGTCAGGCAATAGAGGTAGATGTTTTCTTCCATGTAAGGATTCAAGGACCTAGCCTATTTTTTCCACCTTATAGCTTCACCATTTTTTGGTCACCTTGTCTTCCATATCTAGTCAGCTGATGGGAAATGTGGCCTTACCTAAGGTAATATATTTTTTTAAAAGCCTTTGTTCAAAACTGTCATGCTTTATTTGCACACATGGTCACAGGTAAAGTCACATGCAAGAATTAAAAACGGCATAAAATGGTGTGCCCAAGTAGAAGGCTAATTTGATAAACAGCTCTGGCTCTCTTATAACTACTCTTATAGGTTCAGAAATAAGCAACTGAAAGTAGAAGAGAAATTAAAAACTGAATTAATAAATGCATTAGAATATAGTTCCCTAAATAACTGAAATGTTAACATATGAATATTTGAATTTTTACTTTAGATGTAAAAGTAAATATAAAATGAAACCATATATGTTAGAATAAATCAGAGTAATACAATTATTTTCAAAAATAATTTTCAAACATAAAAATATTTTAACACTTGTTTCTTATTTATGGTGTGTGTAGAAATAAGCCATTCTCAGTGTTTCTACCATGATGTTGTGAAGCATCCAAGAACTAGTTTTCTTCTGAAATTTTGTATATCAACCTAGCTTTGTATTTGAATATTATCAAATTTTATCACCAAGAGTAATTTAAATTGTCACTGCCCTTTGGTAATTTTTAATACATTAGACTAATGCATTTTATTTTTTCTTCTAAATTTCCTCTGTGTACAGTGTGGTTTTTGTTGTTGCTACTAAAAGTAGTGGCAGCATTGCAAAATTTGCTCAAAAACTTGAATACTGTGAAGAAATAAGAAAGTGTACAGGCTCACGCCTGTAATCCCAGCACTTTGGGAGGCCGAGATGGGCAGATCATGAGGTCAGGAGATCAAGACCATCCTGGTGAAACCCCTTCTCTACTAAAAATACAAAAAAAATAGCCGGGTGTGGTGGCAGGCACCTGTAGTCCCAGCTACTTGGGAGGCTGAGGCAGGAGAATGGCGTGAACCCAGGAGGTGGAGCTTGCAGTCAGCAGAGATCGTGCCACTGCACTCCAGCCTGGGCGACAGAGCAAGACTTCATCTCAAAAAAAAAAAAAAAATACATGAACATAAACAATATGTACAACATGAGTAAACCATTCCATGCATAGCCAAATACCAACTATTTTTTGTTCTCCTTTATGTATCAACTACAAAGCATATTATTCCATCGTGTATTACAGGAAAATATATTTGTATATATTCTTGTTTATGGAAAAAAATAAAATCAGAGATTTTAATAACTATCTCCTTTGAAATTGTATTATTGTGTTAAAGCCCGATTTGTGAATCATTCATTGCTCAAACTCCTTTAAATTTAATTCAGCTGAAGTTTTTCTTTTCACGGATGGTGTCAGAAGTGGGATCTGAAGTAGAGCTTCTAACTATCCCTAGGAGCACTAAGTAAACAAGCAAGGTTCCCGCCGGACCCACTTGTGTCTTATAATCTCTCAGAGCAGCTGAGGATCATGGTAAGTTCTCTCTTAGATTTCAGAGCTCCATGGATTTCTGTTTTGAGCTCTCCAAGTTTCTTTGAGCAAATGTCTATTCCAAACTGGGTTTTGAAGTCCTGACAGAAACTAGAATGGGTCCAGCATGAGATATGATCTGGTAATTAACCAGCTTGGATCCAGTTAGAGGCCACTTACATCTGACTGGGTTAGAAAGAAACTGGTAGGAAATGGTAATATTGCAGGGATTGTCAAATTTTGCTTTTGGAAATTCACGGGGACTTTTGTGTTCTACTCCTTTGTTTCATTTTTCTTGTGCACTTAGGTAGGAAAAATGATTAGATAAATTTTTTTAACCTGAAAGCAAAGCTGAATGATTTTATCATATATACGTCACACAGAAGATTCTACTGTAAAGGCTATGGTTACACAACACACCTTAAATTCTTTTGTGTAAGTTATGCTAAATAGTAGAATTATCTAAACAGAGAATTATCTGTGCAGCTGCTGGCAGTTTTGGCCTATGGAAAAATATATCCGGTATTATAAAGGGTCAGTTGTAGTGGATTAACAAAAAGACCACCTAGTTAAGTGAGTAGGTTCCTTAACTAGCTCATTCTTTCATCAATTTGATTTTAAGTGGTTTGGTTTATCGGGACCCAGGGTAAGGAGCATACTCTAAACTCTTGGTATTATCCTCCTAATAGTCATAAGTGTGGTCTCCCTGGCTCACTGTATTCTCTCAGAGGTTTTAAATGTTTTCATGCATTCATCTCCAAAATGCTAAATGGTCTCTATTCAACAGGAATTGCAAAAGCTGAAAGAAATGTGTAACCATGAGAACACTATAACCTATTAGTGATATGCTGAGACTAGAAATCCAAATTGATGGTAACTGAGAGTGGCACTAAGGCACTGAGTTTTGATCAAACTGTCATCTGACAACCTGACCAAAAAGGGGAAATTTTTGTGAGCAAAATTATGGGAGGACATTGTTTTGAACTGAGCTCTTGCACTAGGCCTCAACAGACCAAACCAAACCACAATGGAGTCACTCGTGTTAAATATGCCTAAAACGGACCAGGTTTTGTTTTTCTCCTGCCAACAGAATGTTTCAGCATAAGGAGGTACCCTCTACTCATTCTTTGTTCCCTCCTTGCAAAACCCATTGTTCTACTGTTTCCCAGTGGGTTTCAAGATCAAATAAGTACATTTACAATGGCAAAAGTGATATCGATGACTAAAGTTTTGGTCAATCTCTCAAAATTGAGAAAATTACCAAAAGAGGGGAATTGTTAAAGCAAACTAAATATGGCCTGAGAAAGGCTCTGTACTTCTACATTTGAGTCCTTGTGGATAAACTGTAATCTAACTTTATAGGCAGACAAGATTGAAAACCTAATTTAAGAATATCTGCCTGTAACAATAGCTGAGTCTTGGCCAATCCCACGGTCATACTTCAACCACTCATAGACTACTAAGTGTTCAAACTGTGTTCAAATAAGGCAAATGCCAACCTGTAACCAATCCACCTGTAACCAATCCAGCTGTTTCTCTGCCTCACTGCCAATTTCTGTATATCACTTCCGTTTTTTTGTCTATAAATTTGTTCTGCACCAGGAGATATCACAGGAGTCTCTCTGAATCTGCTGTGATTCTGAGAATTGACTGATTAGACAATCATTCATTGTTCAATTAAACTCGTTTAAATTTAATTTGGTTGAAGTTTTTCTTTTAACAATTGAAAAAAGTGAAAATTTCTTAAATGAATTATTACATAGGTAATATTTTAATTTATTCCCTCAAATAATGATTACAAAAGATAAACTATATTTTTTGAAATATTTAAACAAAAATAAAAACACATATCAAAACACAGGAAGGAAGGAAGAAAGGAAGGAGGGAAGGAAGGAAGGAAGGAGGGAAGGAATGAAGGAAGGAAGGAAGGAAGGAGGGAAGGAAGGAAGAAAACAAACAGAAAAAAAAAGGAACCGTGTTAAAAAAGACATAAAAGTCTTACTCAGTGTATCAAAAAGTTGTGATGTGCCACCAGCTATGTTTCTAAAATCATCAAATGGTAAAGCGTAATTAAAGTTTGTTTTGGTGTCTCTATTTTTAATGGGCCAGACTCAAAATGGCCTTTGCTCTTGTATAACACCAAAATCATAACCACGATTTATTTAGTACACTTAATGAGAGCTCATCCATTCTACACCACTCAAGTGTTTTAGGATAGGTAATTATTTAAAATCTGCCCCCCAAAACTTTTAATTATAATGTTAGGCATATGCAGACATAATTAATTATAATAATAAACATCCTTTAAAAATGAAATCACTAAATAGAGATTCTCTTTTTACCTCTTTTGTTTCATTCTTGGATCAGATATTAGTAATTGATGAATGAGAAAAAAATCTGTTAAGATGTCTTAAGACTCCTCAATCTGAAGTTTCCCTACCAAAAATACGTTCTTTTCTATGCATATCTGAGAAACTTCTACCCTTTCCTCAGAGTCCAAGGGCACACTTTTTTTCTGATGCATTTCTCTACTCTCCTAAAGTGAGTCACTCTATATTCCCTTGGAGATCTCTTCGAATGTTTATTATAACATCAATGGGTATATTATAGGGCCCCCTTCCTATGTCTGTATTCATTACCAAATTGTGGGTACCTTGAAGTCTGGAAATTGGTCTTCTAATTTTATTATTAGACACTTAGTTCCCATTATGATTCATGTAATGGAGATTTTTTAGATGTACTTTCAATAAAGAAATTACTTGACTAATTATATTAATTAACCAAATATGATAGCATGAGCCTCAAAGAGTTAGGAAAAAAATACCTTTGAAGTTCGTTAAAAAAGAACCATATTTCTAGAGTTTATCTCTGAAATTCTGTTTCTGTAAATTTAAAGTGAGGTACACTTTGCTCCAATTTTGATTCATCTACTTATCTGTCATTTAAATGATATATATTTATGTTTTTAAAATATAAGTAAAGATATATAGAAAGTTAGCAGTATGAGAACACCCACTCTCCTCAAATCACACATCTCATCATTCAGAAAGAATTATTAATAATATTAGGTAAATAGCAATATAAACATTTCTACTGTGAGGGCAAATATAAATTAAAAATACGAGTTTTGATTCTTCCTGTTGAAAATAAGGGAAGAGACTCCTCCTTTCCCTTTTCCTAGAGCATTTACTGTAAAAAATGTGTCATTATAAATTATTTTTCTGTCTCTTCCAAGTGTACCTATGTAAATCTTTTTTAAAAGCTAAATAACGCTCTTGACAGCTTAAAGACCCAGCAATGTCTTTCTATGACCTGAGAACTGTCTCTTTGATATGCAATCACAAGGAAGATAACACCCTTATCTCTCAGTTTCTATGGGAGGATAGACGCCTCACTTAAGCAGTAGCTTAGCTACAAGGTACAAAACTGTCTCTTGTCATAAAGATATGAGAAGTGTATTTTTCCTTTGGATAAGGCCAATTAGGTAAAACAGTTGGTCACCTTAATTCACAAGTGAGTTTAGAATAAATTTTGTTTGACAAATGGTGTTTTCAAGTGTTCTGTTGGGGGCTAGCTATTGTTTATCTTGAGAACACTTTGCAAGGGTTGTATCTACTTAGCTACTTAATAAGGCGGGATTTCTTTCAGTCTTTGTCATCTCTTAGTAGACTGCCTGTGATGTACTTCACAATCTGGTTTAATGCTTATTCAATAATACATTTTTTTTCTCCTCTATATTTGTGGAGAGGTTTTCAGGGTTGAGGGGAGATTTTGCTTTTAATTATATATTACCAACACTACACAAAACTAAACATTATTTCTTGTGCAAAAGCTTCTATCTTTGACTATTTTTATCTGTTGCACGTGTTGATTGGTTGAATTTCATTATTGAGCAGAACCACCATTCCTCCTGACCCCCCTTCACTCAGCCAAAAGGATCAATAACTACTTTACTCTTAAACCCTTAAATTGAAATTTTCCTTGGTATTTTCTATATAATTTATTCACTCCTAAGCTTGTTTGTTTGTTTTTCCCAGACTTGTAAAGATGGTACTCGATCTTTCTTATTTTTTTTTAATTTTTCTTAATTTTGAAGACATTTCTTCTCAGCCAAATATGAGTGACCAATGGCCTGTGATACAGTTCCAGGACATCTTGAGAACAAGTGCCAAGGCTACAGCTTGTTTTTTTTTTTATGTTTTAAAGAGACATAATACATCAATCAATACATGTAAGATGTATATGGGTTTTGTCCAGAAAGGTGAGACGACTTGAAGTGGGGGCTTCCAGGTCATCAGTGGATTCAAATATTTTCTTATTAGCAATTGGCTGAACAACTTATTTTAAGCTAGACTTGCCTAAAGACTTGGAACCAATAGAAGAGAATGTCTGGGTTTAGACAAGGGGTTGTGGAGACTCAATGTTATTATTATTATTATCATTTGAGACAGGATTTCACTTTGTCACTCAGGCTGCTAGAGTGCAGTTATCACTGCTCACTGCAGCCTGTACCTCTTGGGCTCAAGCAATCCTCTCATCTCAGCCTTCAGCATACCAGGAACCACAGTTGTGTGTCACCATGCCCAACTAACTTTTTTTTTCTATGTTTTGTACAGATGGAGTCTCATTATGTTGCCCCAGCTGGTCTTGAGCTCCTGGGCTCAAGAAATCCTTCTTCCTCTGCCTCCCAAAGACAGGATACCAGAGAGAAAGATACTTTTTAAATAGAGTAAGTAGCATGTAAAATAAAAATTAAAGCGTATTAATAACAAATGGATAATAAATCGGGAGCCACTCTTTTTAAATCACAATTTATTAAAAAAACACTATTATTCATGATCCATTCATTCAACACATGTTAATTGAGTTTCTGCCACACAACAGGCTCTATGCTAGCTGATAAGAATACACTAGTGAGCAAAACAAAACCTCATCTTCCTGGAGCTTATATTCTTATTGGGTTCTATTGTCAACTTATAGAAAAAAAATCTCTATAAACTGATTTGTAATACATAGTATAGAGAAAATATAAATAAAGAATGATAAGAGTGACACTTTAAATATAGTGATAAGAAAATTATCTCTGATGAGGTAACATTTAGGCCAAAATTTGAAAGGAGTTGAGAAAGATATAAAAAGTAGAGAATGAGCAAATGCAAAGGCCTTTAAAGAAAAAAGTAATTGGATATTTAGAAGAACATCATGAAAACCATCATAATTGATGATCAAGGAATGAGGGAGTGAAAGGGAAGGTTGTAAAGGTAGGCAGAGAACAGGAATTTACCCTCAGTCATGTGGGAAGCTATTGGAGGATGTCGATCAAAGAATGACGTGATCAAACTCACAGTTTAAGAGCACTGTTAATGCGAAAATAAACTAAAAGCAAGGGAAGGTGGGTGGAGAGAAAATTTAGGAGGTTATTACAATAAACCAGGTAAGAAATGAAGAAGTTTAAACCATGATGTTAGTGGTGATTGTGGTGAGAAGTTATTTTGACTATATTCTGAAGGTAACGATAACAGAATTTGCTAAAGAATTGGATGTAAGTTATGAAGTGAGAGCTACGACATGGTAATTCTAGGGCTTATGGTTAGGGTAACTGAAAAGGGCAGTTGGTCTTAAGGGAAACACGGTAGGCTGGAGACCAGAAAATTTGGAGAGGCAAAAAAGGCATATTATTTTCAGCATGCTAGTTGAGATGTCTTTGGTTGTTAGATGTCCACATCTGGCAATCAGAACAGAAATAAAAACTAGAGATATAATTTGGGATTCACCCACATATAGATGGTGTTTAAGTACTGACACTAGAGGATAACACTTACAGAGTCCATGGTCTTGATATAATATGAAAGCAGCTATATTCTTTGGTTGGTTCTTAGATAATAAATAGCTGGAGATACTAACTTGAGTATAACGTACGTAGAATTCATAGGTAATACTGAGAAGGGACAAATCGTCTGTTATTCTCCAGCTTAAAGTTACAAAGTTAGAAAATAAACCATTTGCCTAATAACGATATTACCAGAAATGTCCTCTCCTCTGCTGTACATGAGAAAATAAACACCCACAGTAAAATGTCTTTAATGTTAACCGTAGCATGCTACTCAATAGCAGTCTCATAGTATCTGTAGAAAGTATCTATAGTGGACATGGCATCTAGCAATGCTATCTTGGAAAATGGAGTTGTGGCCAGGTGTGGTGGCTGACGTCTGCAATCCCAGTGCTTTGGGAGGCCGAGGAGGGTAGGTCACCTGAGGTCAGGAGTTTGAGACCAGCCTGGCCAACATGGTGAAACCCCATCTCTACTGAAAATACAAAAAAATTAGCTGGGTGTGGTTGCGGACGCCTGTAATCCCAGCTACTTGGGAGGCTGAGGCAGGAGAATTGCTTGAACCGGGAGGAAGAGGTTGCAGTGAGCTGAGATTGTGCCACTGCACTACAGGTTGGGCAACAAGAGCTAAGGGAGGCTGAGGCAGGAGAATTGCTTGAACCTGGAGGCAGAGGCTGCAGTGAGCTGAGATGGCGCCATTGCACTCCAGCCTGGGCAACAAGAGTGAGACTGTGTCTCAAAAAGCAAAGCAAAGCGAAACAAAACAAAACAAAACAAAACTTCGTGTCAAATAAAAAAAGAAAAGAAAATGGAGTTGCATTTAACTATTTCTGTCTTTTGCCATCATGATGCTTGATGTTAACAAATAAATATTTTCTTTTTATTATATATTTAAATAGTAGGTAGATTTTAAATTGCTCACCATTTTTAATTACTTTGTGATTTTTACTAGCCTTTTCAGTTTGAACATTTTATATTTTATCTTTGTAATATATTACATATTATTTCACTGTTATGTCTTGTTTCACTATTAAACCCCTACTTAGCAACTCTCTTCAACCATGTAACATCAAGTCCAATATTGCATTTAAACAAACGTTAAATATTTAAAGGCTTTCGAGGTGTTTGTCCGTTATTAGTCTACTATTAGATTGGTATAAAAGTAATTGTGGTTTTTGCCATTGCTTCTGCACCAACCTAACATAATCATGGAAAGAAAGTTAATTCTAATTTTGAAAAAAAATTGTTCCTAGCTTGAGAAAATAGTAGAAGTCCTCTTCGCTTTAATCACTATTTCTAGTTGTGTTCTCTTTATTTCAGTGTGGTGCCTTCTGGTTGTATGAAAGCAGCTAAGACATAACTGAATAAATGTATAAATGCATTAACATTTCTCACCTTAAAATATCTAGAAATTTTAAATGCAGGGATAAATTAGATGGTTTGCCATTTTTATGATTCTAAGAATTCCATTTCAGATGTGAATCTGTGAATTCATATATTAGTTTTAAGACAGAAAATTGTATACTCTTTGTCCTGTTCAAAGTAAATTTTACAATATTAATATTTTATCTCCAGCACTGTGAATCATATTAGCACATGCTAAGTACTTGTACTGATGTAATAAAATTATATATCCATGCAGCAATATAAACTGAATGCCTACTATGTGCCAGAAAAAGCTAAGGTAGATATTTGGCATAGAAGTGAACTATATTAAAATGTGAAATTAACTCAAACATATGATGCTGGAATAATTGGAATGAAATGCCCCTGTTTGCTCTCTAGGGTATCATCATAGTTCACAATATTACCAAGGATTTTTTCAAGATTTTCATGGAAACTTACTGTCATTTTCTAGTCTATTTTCTAATCTCTGCTTTCCAAAATATCCTTCACAGTATATGTTTTATTACCTTGTCAAAATTAATTTTTGATACAGCCTATCTTCTTGCATAGTTCCTCCCATGGTACATATTTGCCCTACTTTTTCTTTATCCTCTCAATTTTGAAGAAAAAAATGCATGTATTATTTTTATTCCTCCATAATAATTCCCATTTGGTTGGTTTTCAGCAGCAGAAGCAGCATCTCTAAAGGTTTAATTGGAAGAGCATATCATATTCTGTAGAAATGAGGAGACCCTAAGTGGTATTAATTTATCAAAGGTGGTCCGATTACCTGAGTAAGAGTCAGAGGATACTTTTAAAAGATAATTAAACTAGGTTCAGTAACAGGTACAGAAAATTACAGAAACTTACAAGTCTTCACTTTAGAATCTTTCCCACTCCTTATTTCAGGAATAAATTAATTCAAGAAGAGTGTTCCAAGTTGCTAAAATAACTTAGCCTTTGGGGAAATAGCTAAGCTTTATATTATTCTTTTTAATTTTAATAATACTAATGTGAATTAAGTGTGACAGAGAAAACCATAATGTGGATTTCCATTCCCTTATTTTTTAGCAGTTTCTATGTGGTGGGCACTATAATATTTGTTTCTAGTGAAAGTAAGGATATAGGGCATAATTATTTCTCCCCAAAAATTTATAAACTGATGGGATTTACTTTGGCCATGAAATATAAAATATGTGTGTGTGTGTGTGTGTGTGTGTGTGTGTGTGTGTGTTTAAACTAAAATCAGAATTTTAGTAATCATTTTGGTAAATTGCATGAACTGAGTTTACTAATAAATACAAAGTTATTTCAAAATTTACTAATTTTAATTATCTTTTAAAAACTTATATTAAATTCGGGGTACATGTGAAGGTTTGTTACACAGGTAAACTTGTGCCATGGGAGTTTGTTGTACAGATTATTTCATTGTTGTATCTCATGCACCCTTTGAACTAATGGCTGTTAGAAAACAATCCCATAGTAATTTCTAACTTCCCTGAGCCTTCTGTACTGTCTATATTACTCCTTCTTTGTTCTTAAACAGCTCCATATCCCAGTTTTCTCATCTTTTCCAAATATCCACAGCTCTTGTACCTTGCTCTATTCTAACACTTATCCTTAACTCAGAGCACAACCTAACAGAATATTAAATCAACAAAGAAACCTCTCAACATATGCATTTCCATTATTGTCTGTGGTTAATTTTAATTTCAGGGGAAGAAATCCCTTAAGCCAGTTATGAACAACACAGCCTCTCATGGGATTGCCCCAACACTCATCTCTCTTATCTCTGTCTGCAACCCAGCCCACAGCTGGCTATTTTTTAATGACAAATTTCTCTCAGCCTGCAAATATGTTTATGTCTATTTCATTCATCTTCATCTTATAATTATTTCTTGATCAGATATTATCCCTAGCATTTTTCAAAATTTCTTCAACTCTCAAAGTCTACCAGGGATTTTATATAAAAGCAGACAATACATTTCAGGTAAGTTAAAAATACCATCATAGTGTTTAAATTGAAAAATAAAATGTAAATAAGAGTAAAAAGAACTATTAATAGTTTTAATTGATGAGGAAGTTGGCATTGTTTATAATATTTTTAAAGCTCTCTAAAACATAATGTTGATGAATGGCTGAAAACACTCTTCTGGTTTAATCTTTAATAGGTTTCCTTGCTTACTCATTATAAATAATAAATTGGAATATCCTAACTTACAATTATCATTCATATGAAATGACTGGAAGTGTTTGGCAGTTTTGTCAGGCAACTTAAGATGTTGGATTCAATATAGATTAAAAACTATGAAGTTATTTCTCACTTGTCAGGGAAAACTTACTTTGCGTTGCTTCTTGGAAATGAATCAATTCATATTCCTAAAAAGGCATGTAGAATAACTTTACAACAAAAAGAAAATCTTGCTTTTTCTTATTGTGAAGTCAACTGATTTACATGTAAGTGAGATAACCAAATAAAATTAATATGGCCTTATATAGTGAGTTAAGCATCATATTTTAGCAAACACATATTTTACAAAAATTTGTAATAATTAAATGAAAATGTCCACGACAAATACTTAAATAAGCAGAGACTTGAAAAGCAAAAAATAAAAAAGTAAGCATTTTAGAGTTAAATGCAAAAATAACAAGGGAAGGTTTCTTTACAAATAAACTGGTCAGATGCACTTTGACTATAAACTTGTAAGTTATAAATATAAGTCCAATTTGAAATAACATGAAGCTTAATCTAAGTTATACCAACATTTTAGGTTTTTAACATATTTTACATTCAAGTAATTTTTCAGCCTTCTGCTTTATGCTTTTCATAAAATATCTGTGCATTCAAAATACTTGCGCTTTCATATCCTTAAGGTGTCTTATTTAGAAATAGTGAACATTTTGGTCTATGATTTCAACAGTAATTTTAGGCAAACTAAAGCAAACTATTTAAGGTTTTTAATCTCCACTATTACTCACTAAAGAATATATTCAGTGCGGCCCGGCAGGGTGGCTCACGCCTGTAATCCCAGCACTTTGGGAGGCCAAGGGGGGCAGATCATGAGGTCAAGAGATGGAGACCATCTTGGCCAACTTGGTGAAACCTCGTCCCTACTAAAAATACAAAAATTAGCAGGGCGTGGTGGTGGGTGCCTGTAGTCCCAGCTACTCAGGAGGCTGAGGCAGGAGAATAGCTGGAACCCGGGAGGCGGAGGTAGCAGTGAGCCGAGATTGCGCCACTACACTCCAGTCTGGGAGACAGAGCGAGACTCCATCTCAAAATAAATAAATAAATAAATAAATAAATAAATAAATAAATAAATAAATAAAATAGATAGATATAGATCTAGATAGATAGATAGATAGATAGATATTCAATACTCTAGAGGATATTTTAGTTACTTTCAAATCTCAAAGATTAAACATTTATTGATAATGTCAATTCAATGCCTACTTTTGGTTAAATAAAACTCCAAAAATATTTCTTCTACTTTATGAATGTAGTTATTACATTTACCCATTGGTATGTTATCTATTTCCTTTCTAAGCCATATTGAAACCTCAGTTGTTAGGATAGTGTTCAGTTCTCAATGATTATGCTATCTGTACTAGTTTTGTGTTTCTAAGAAATATTGAAATATTATTATTATTTAAAATCCTGGCACTTCCACCTCTGGTAAAATATTCCAGATATTTAAAATATAGAATACATATAACTAAACTATTTTAGTTTGATAACCCGATGGAAATTTTAAATTTATTTTTCACTAACATTATCAGTTATAAAATCTAATCATGTGTAATCATAAGTAGAAAAATAATGAAGTAAAATCAACAACAGGAACAGCTAAATCTCAAGAGAGTAATTTCCATTTTAACAACTACCTGACTTCAGTATAGAAAAGCTATATTAAAATGAATAAATTTTCTTAAAATTATCACACAGCAGTTCGAAAAAATTGTGTACCTACAGACAAAGGTTTGACCAAAGTTATGATTTTTCTATCTTTGTCAACACTAAGGTCAGACAGTATATTATCGATGATCACTTTCTCACTCTAATAAAGCAGAATGTGAATTGCCCTTTTATTCAATCTCTATTTGCACATGAATGAATTTTCTTGCTGTACAGAGATGAATTTCCATCAATACCAAATCCAACTCATCTTTTCTAGTTTTGTCTCTTCCGTGATAAACAGTTACAGCCGTTTACACCCACATACACGCAGACACACAATTAATGTCAAGAGCTAAGTCTTATTATCTAAGATTATTGGTTTTATCCTTGATAGCATATTACCTAATACTAATACTTGCTCTTCTACAATATATGACTTTGATATTATGTGGAATTAATTAGTACAGTAGTCCCTTTATTTTATATAGTTTTTCTTTCCTCCGTATCAGTCAATTACAGTCTGAAAAAAAACAAAACCATTGCTATTACACTTGGGGGCCAGAACACATGAACACAGGGAGGGGAACATCACACACTGGGGCCTGTCAGGGGGTGGGGAGCTAAGGGAAGGATAGCATTAGGAGAAATACCTAATGTAGGTTATGGGTTGATGGGTGCAGCAAACCACCATGGCACGTGTATACCTGTGTAACAAACCTGCACGTTCTGCACGTGTATCCCAGAACTTAAAGTATAATACATTTTTTTAAATGGCTACTTGAACACCAAGCACTGTGATAGTGAGATAGTTGAGTTGACAACCAATATACCTACTGAGTAAGAAAAATCTGAGCAGAATAAAGCAGGATGGTGTGAGATTTTATTATACCACTCAGAACAATGCACAATTTAAAACTCGAGAATTGTTTATTTCTGTATTTTCAAATTTATGTTACAATGCCAACACTAGTCACACACTTACCTCACCATGTAGGCATTTTATTATATCATTACAAGAAGAGTGAGTGCAGTACAATGAGATATTTTGAGATGAGAGACAACATTAATATATATTTCATTACAAAATATTATTATAATTGTTCTATTTTATAATTAGTTATTGTTGTTAGTTTCTTACTTTGCCTAATTTATAAATTAAACTTTATTTTAGGTGTGTACATATAGGAAAAGGTAGTGTATATCAGGTTCAGTGTAATCTGTGGTTTCAGGCATCCACTGGGGGTGTTTGAATGTAGCTCCATGGGTGAGGGTGAACTATAGTATATGATGAATAAATTTTGCTCTAGAAATTTTTTTAAATAACAGATTAAAAATAACTTTTAACATCTCAAGGTAATGAAACTTGTGTCTGATTTTGCTACTAGGAATCCTCATCTTTAATAGATTCTCTGTAGTTTTCATTGTTTTTTCTCTCCTAGAGACAAAATTCTCTTTTTAGTAATCAAAATATTTACTTTTGATTGTTCTAATAAACCAAATAGCATAAATAGGTTTAAACACATTAGACACATATGAAAAATAGATGGGTAAGATCACTAGAAAGAAAATTACAAAAAATGTTGAAAGAAATTGTGAAGTCCTAAATAAATGTTTCCTTTATGTGGACGGATTGTAAGACTCAATACCAGAATGTTTGGTAAGATATCAATCCTTTCTTAATCTATAAATAGAATCTCATTTAAGAAATAATCGTTTGGGGAATAAAAACTTGGGGTTAATTGATTACATTTATTTTAAAATTAATCAAATACAAAATAATAGAATACCCAAATTAAAGAAAATGTGTAGATAGATAGACATAAAACTCTATAAAATATTTAATCTATCTATGTAGAGATAAAGGGGAGGAGAAAGAGGAGAAGAAAGTTGGAATAAGTATACTGTTAATATTAGCACCTGATTTTGAAGCTTACTATAAAGGTACAATAATTCAGAAAAGTGTGGAACTGGTAAAAGAACAAAATTAATGACCAATGATACCAAACAGAGGGCTCAGAAATAGAACCACACAAACATCATGAGTTAATTTTATACAAAGGTATCAAAGCAATTAATTAAAAAAGGAAAGTCTTTTAACAAATGATGCAGAAAAAACTGGATAAAGTTGGAATAAAGGAAACTTAAATACTCAAACAAAAAAAGCAACCCCAATAGTAGGAAAACATAATAAAATATATTAATGACATTTATTAATCAAAGATTTCATAGGTAAGACAAAAAAGGACAAAGCATAGAAGTAAAAAATAGACTTCATCAAAATTAAAACTTTATGCAAATCAATAAGCATCATTAGGAAATTAAATGTTGCTCAAGAGTATCAGTTATATGGTAAATTAGTTGTCACATTAAAACAAACTAATGGCTAATAGAAAAATCATAGGCAAAACCAAAAGTTGATAAGGATATGGAAATATTGGAACTGTCATATTTTCTGGAAGGCTTATAAATTTATACAACCACTCTGGAAAACTATTTTATAGTTTCTTGTAAAACTAAATATACACCCATTTTTTTTCTCAGTTCTAGTCTTAAGTGCTTACCCAAGAGATAGAAACAATTATTTTCAAACAAAACTACTTATATGAGAATATTACATAAATTTCACTTATAACAGGCAAAACTCCAAACAACCCAATTTTCCATCAACTACATAATAGAAAAATTTAGTTTATTAAATCGATTGAATGCTACTCAACAATACAAGGAATTAACTACTGACATTCACAATATAGATGAATCTCAAAAATATTATATTGAGATGATAAAGCCAGAAACAACAGTTATTTCAGTTATATAAATTCTTCGATACCAAGATAAATAACAGAAAAAAACTAATTTATGGTAATAGAAATCAGAAGAGTATTTTCTTGTAGAGGTAAATATTTACAGGAAGAATCAGAATGAAGTACTCTGAGGTGATAGAAATGTTAGATGTATCCTGACCAGAGTATTGATTACATGGGTGTGCACAAATATCAAAACAAATTACATTGTACACTTAAGATAGGCTCATTTTACTGTATATTAACTTGACCCCAATATTTAAAAATATAATAGAGTGATAATCAGGTGCAAAACAATCACTAATATAATAAAATCAATAAAGTCCAGATTTCTCTTAAATTTGGCTTCTTGTGCCAATTCACACAATAGTAGATTTTTTAAAATTACAACTAGAATTTCATTATATAATTTAATCATATTTGTCTTTACTATTAGTAGAAAGGAAATTAGGTAGGAATTTAGTAATTATTTTTGAATAAATGGTACATAAATGGTTATTACATATTCACTGTCATATACATATGCATATAAATACAATCTTTATATATATTTTTACTTTCAGTGAACCTTCCTTAATGCCAGATACCTTTGTTCAGTTAGAAATATAACATAGCACAATAATGGAATCAAAATTACGAAGTTTTCTATTGTTACATTGTTGATGAAAAAATGTGAAAATAATTTTGTTAAAATGAGCTACATCCACTTAATTTTAAATTACCTAAATTAGACTAGGGCAATGGTACATGCAGTTTTTGTTTCACATGAGCAAACAATAAGAGTTATGTATTATTAAGATCACAGTGAGAGCTCTGCAAAGCTATAAAAATTATAGAAAGTACAAATTGTGAAAACATATGAAAGCAAACATTTTAACTGTTTTTCTTCTTAAGCTCCCATAATTTCTTTCATCTTTTTGACCAAATGCCATGAATTATCAAAGACTCACAAACCCCTTTTTCAATGAAAAACTCCTCTAGAACAAGATATGTTTCATAGCATTGCCCTACCCTTCTCATTCAATCTGTTCAAATAAGCTTTTTTTTCCCATGAGTATTCACTTCATCTTTCATCTATTTTGCTATAAAGTACATTATGACACCAGTCCCTTTCATCTCTTCAATAAAATTCTCCACTATGTGCCAAATGTAAAGCCAATTTCTAGGCCCTTATTTTAATAGACCATTTTCCTGTGTTTGTCACAATTCATCTATATTTCCTTCTGGAAAACTGATTCTGTAGGGCTGTGTGAGGTCTTTCACTTCAGTCATCTTTGCTTCCTTAATCTCATCTTATGGAAGTGATTTTTTATAAGCCTCCAAAGCTGATTTATATACGGTTTATATGTGCTCTTCAAATAATAACATATTGCAATAGCATACTGTATTTTGGCATTTGCATTTTCCTCTATCCTTCACTTGATTGTAAGTTACTCAAGGAAAGTTTGTCTTATTCATATTTGCTTTTCCAGTGCCTGATACTTGTTAGATGACTAGTAAAAAATGTTCTTAATAAATTAATATTGAGAATATATTTAAAAATCCTAACAATAATATACATCAGTATGTATCACTTTTAACAGCAGGCTATGGGAACATGATAAAGTAACGATTTGAGATCTGGAAAAGCTTTCTTGTAGAGATCACCTTTTTTCTCATTAGGAAGTGAATTCCATTGACAAAGAAAGTAATAGAGAAGGGGGCACTGAATTTAGAAGCAAGTATTTGTAAATAAGAGAAATACAAATACCTTATGGTTTCGAAAATAATATTTGTACTTTTGTCCCTGAGCACTGGTTAAGTTTATGTTTCAACATGGATAGGACACAGTACCCAGATATTTGGTCTAGCATGCATGGATTTGGCCGTGAAGGTATTTTTAAAGATAAGATTAACATTTAAATTAGTAGACTTGAGTAAAGCAAATTAACCCCCCAATATAGTTACATTTTATCCATATCCGTATCTTAACCCATAAGGATTTCAAGAAAAGAATTGACCTCCAAAGAAGAGGAAGTTCTGCAAGTAGACTGTCTTCAGACTTCAGGTGCAACATAAACTGTTTCCTGAATTTCCAGTCTGCCAGCCTACTGTGCAGAATTTGGACTTCCAATTCTGCACAATCACATGAACCAATTCCTTAAAATCAACCTCTTTCTGTCCTTCTCTCTTCTTTTTTCTCTCTGTCTCTGTCTCTTTCTCTCTCTCTGTCTCTTTCTCTCTACTTACACACACACACACACACACACACACACACACACGCCCTATTAGTACTGTGTCTCTGGAGAACCCTGACTACTACACCTCCTTTATACTTATGAATGGCAATTTGACAGACATGAGCTCTTTTTGTTGATATAAGATTAGATTTATAAAGGCTTATATGCAATTTTAGTAATAACATAAATCAAAGGATGAACTGAGGCTATGTGTTAGAGGTGCTTATGTTTTTAATGTTATAGATTATATTCAGTGTAAGGACAATACTGGAGAAAGTGCAAAAATGTGACAGATAAGAATTTAATTTACTGATAAAAAGTAAAATAGTATAAAAAAAGCATTTTGATTAATACTAAGATAGAGAAAATTTGACTGAAAATTTTTGGCAGATAATAACATTTTTAAACGAACACTTTATCTCTTTGATTAAAGTTAGCATCAGGTGTAAAAAAACTATCATCTTTTTACTGTTATTTTAATTATAGTTTATTGGGGGACTATAAAATGGTACATTATTTATTTTAAATACTTTTTCTTATTTCAGTCAGATTTAGTTAGGATAATGTACTACTTTAATTTTTTAAATTTATTTTACTCTTTTTTCAAAAAATAAAATAATAGCATGCAGTAATAGTAATTATTTGAAATAAGGTAATATGCAATAGTAAATTTGCAGCAATTTGGAATTATATGTGTTTTTCATGTTTAATTTTGTTTAAAAATCATCATAGATACAGTTTTATGGGAAATATGCAAAGAAAATATCTCAGTTGATAAAAACTAAGTTGATAATCATGAAGATATCTTGCCTCTGGGTAAAAGATTCAGTATACTTAAAAGTGCTACTGTTTGTTGTTATTTAATATTGTTTTCTATTAAACATAACTTAAAAAAGAGAACTTTCACCAAAAAAAAGTAAATTTTTTCATGGATGTAAATTTTAAGTACTGACATATTTTAAACTCACGTAAGTTATAAATTAATATACTCTCTATGTTTTAAAAAATATGTTTGGTATACAGTGACAAAAATGTTTATCTTTATATCTCTGTTTTTAGATATTATGTTTTCTAACTAAACCTCTACAGTGAGAAATATGTATTTGTTTTTACTTTTTGTTGCACAAATATTGAGCAGCATGGAAAATCAGCTTTAAATGAATTTAAATTACTTTAGCACGTAGAAAGAAAGAAAGAACCAAAATGACTGCATCTTTGTTAAGTATAAAGACATTTGTGGCGTTTTAATTAGCCCATTTTAATTCCCACTTTCTCAGGTCCGCAATAGTTTTGAGAACTAGCAGCCTAACAATCACAATTGCTGTGGATACCAGCAATTTGGCAATTATTGAAGGGTATAGAAATGATTTGGATCGCCTTCAAAAAAATCTGCAGAGAATTATCATTGTTTTAACTTTCCAGCAGTACTCTAGAAAATCTAGTCTCACTTTTAGGGTTTGCAGTTATTTAATGTGACGCAGGGCTCACTCAGGAGAAAAGGTCCTATATCAACTGAGGAGAGCAAAGATCACCTGGTGGCCATCACGCAGTCCATCCAGAGGCAAAACTTCTTATTTGAGGAATTTAGACATAATTAGACTTTCTTATTATAAAGCCGGCATCTGGTTCCAGGCTTCTTTCCTAAAAATTTGTAAATAACTAGAATTTCTATACATCTCCAGAATGCATGCATGTCGAAACTCATTGTGAAACCTTTCCTGACATCAAGGCACTAAATGTCTACAAATGTAATCATTTATCATGACACACATGGCTAATATGCTCCAAATTTCCCTCAAGCTCTGCTTTAAAGTCCATAAAGAAAAACTCACTGTGGCGTGATCAGTCTTCTCCTACTGGACACCTTGCTGCACTCTTCTGCAGGATTATTTCTATCTAATACAACTTTTCTTTTCAAACCTATGCCGTTTTTGGTAAATATGTCTTACTACTCACATGCCAATCAGTTTCCCTTGCTGGGGCTCTGTCACCTCGCCCAGCATCTTGGTGGCCCATACGGGGACTACACTGGGATTTCTCCCTTTTCTTTTCTTCCTATTTCCCTCGACAGTCTTGTTCTTTACTCTTGGGAACTGACCATCCCTGGCTGAGGCCATGTTCTGGTGGGATCCTGAAGCCCTGGAGAAAAGATACCTGTCTGTCACTGCCGTTAGGGATGGGGAACTGGCAAGGGCTCTTTTCTGTTTTCAGACTGCCAGTAAAAAGCAATTAATGGCTTCTGGCTAAGGGCCATTCCCCGGGGTTACCTGCAGGCCAAGACAAAAGAGCTAATTTGCTCTTGTACAATAGGGTGGCAGGTCCACTTTCACTTCAACACTCTGTAAAGGGTGGCTTGTAAATGAGCAGCAGTGATTTCAACTTTGTGCAGACACGCTCTACTGGTTGTGGACCCAATTTTGGATTCAACTTTTTCACAGACACTACATCTCAAATTATGAGAGAGTTCTCCTTCACATTAGGTTTGAGCTGACTGCTCAGACAAGGGCGCACCTGGACTAGTCGTACAGGCAAGGGCAGGCCCTCTATCAGTGGTGAGGTGCCCCTGAAAAGAGTGCGCCAAAGGGAAAAGGGAGGTCCAAAAGCCTCAGGGACGCCTCAGGGATTTTGTAGTCCCTGATCTAAACCCAACATGGGTTCAATTCATTCTTCAATTCCATTCGACTCACACTTGGGTTGCATTCTTAAATATTGGCCCCATTTTTGCCCACAGACTCTCAAAAATAAGCATTAACTTTCTTTTGTAATACAGCTTGGGTTCAATATAAAAACCAAGTAAATTAAATTGGCCTATCAATGGGACCTTGGATTCAAATATTATTTTGTAACTAGACTCATTTTGTTGGAACCTCTGAAAAGATTCAGAGTTCCTGTATGTTCAGCTCTTTTTCTCTCTATCTCAAAACCCAAAATTATATGAAAATTGTCATGTATGTGTCCAGGAAACTTCCTCCCTCCCTGATTCTAATGTTTTAAATGACCCTTCCTTTTGCCTATCACACTCTCCCCAGCCTGCTCCCACTTCATCTACACCCTCTCCATGTGCTGCATTGGCTAATCAACCGCCTCATAACCAGATACTTTATTCCCCTCGCATGCTCACACAGGAGTCACAGATGCCACTAATACACAGTCCTTAGAAAGTTCTAAAAATATTTTACCTCTCTGCAAGGTGGCAAATGGAGACTTGGGAACAATTTGAATTCATGTCTCTTTTCCAATGTCTGATCTTTTGCAAATTCAATTCAAGTTGCATTTATTTAGCCAAGATCCCTCGGAATTCATTCAAGAATTTTGGGCTTTAATGATTGCCTCTGATTTAACCTGGCAAGACGTAGTTGCGGTATTAAATATTTGCTGTTCCCATGAAGAAAAATCATGCATATGGTCGTCAGCTCGAGCATGGCCTAATTAAGTTTATGCTCATTATCCTAATTATGATAGAGCTGGGGCAAAAGCTGTCTTTGAGACAGAACCCAATTGGCAGTACCAGGCCACTGATGCTGTGTCTGCAATTGGTGGGTTCTTGGTCTCACTGAATTCAAGAATGAAGCCACGGCCCCTGGTGGTGAGTGTTACAGTTCTTAAAAGTGATGTATCCGGAGTTTGTTCCTTCTGATAGTTGGATATGTCCAGAATTTCTTCCTTCTGGTGGGTTCGTGGTTTCAATGGCTTCAGTAGTGAAGCTACAGACTTCCACGGTAAGTGCTAAAGTTCTTAAGGAGGCGTGTCTGGAGTTGTTCATTCCTCCTGGTGGGTTCGTGGTCTCGCTGGCCTCAGGAGTGAAACTGCAGACCTTCGCGATGAGTGTTACAGCTCATAAAGGCAATGCAGACCCAAAGAGTGAGCAGCAGCAAGATCTATTACCAAAAGCAAAAGAACACAGCTCCCACAGTGTGGAAGAGGACCTGAGAGGGTTGCCACTGCTGCTTAGGGTAGCCTGCGTTTATTCCCTTATCTGGCCCCACCCACATCCTGCTGATTGGTCCATTTTACAGAGAGCTGATTGGTCTGTTTTACAGAGAGCTGATTGGTCCATTTTCACAGGGTGCTGATTGGTGTGTTTATAATCCCTGAGCTAGACACAAAAGTTCTCCAAGTCCCCACTAGATTAGCTAGACACAGAGCACTGATTGGTGCATTCACAAACCCTGAGCTAGACACAGGGTGCTTATTGGTGCATTTACAAACCTTGAGCTAGACACAGAGTGCTGATTGGTGCATTCACAATCCCTTAGCTAGAAATAAAGGTTCTCCAAGTCCCCACCAAATCAGCTAAACACAGAGCGCTGATTGGTACATTTACAAACCAAGCTGAGGGAGCCGGCTCAGGCCTCCGCCAGCCCAGAGAAGGGCTCCCACTGTGCAGCCGCGGGCTGAAGGGCCCCTCAAGCATGGCCAGAGTGGGCACCCAGGCCAAGGAGGTGCTGAGAGCAAGTGAGGGCTGCAGCATGCTGTCGCCTCTCAATGCCAATCCAAACAGAGGCAGGGCAGATAAGATGATATGATAACTTGTTTGTTGAAAGGAATGAAAAAGGCGGTAATAAAACCCATTAATTTTTCTAAATTAGAATAATCACTCAGGAGCCATATGAGAGCCTTGCTCTTTTCCAAGCTAGACTTGGGGAGGACATGCATAAATACACAAATTTAGGCTCTGAAAGCCCTGAGAGCCTTTCCATTGAGCCATATATTTTATAAGAAGTTAGGCTTCCCCAGATATTGGATAAAACCTCCAAAAGTTAGAGCAAGGCCCACAATCTCCCCTTCCTACTTTATTAAATGTAGCCTTTAACATTTTCAGTAACCAGGAGGAAACAAAAAATATAAAAGCTCAAATGGAGGAGAAAAAAAGCCATCGCCAAGCATATTATATAGCCATGGCATTGGCACATTCTTTTTGTTAGCTAACTACCCCAAGGCTTGTCCTTATAACACTAAAAGAACGGGCCTGTCATCACTGCGGGAATCCAGGACACTGGGGTAGAGAATGTCCCAAGCCTCTGGGTTACAAGCCACCCCTGGAACCCTGTCCTTATTGTAAACAAGAGGGTCATTGGAAGAGTGAGTGTTCCTTTCTCCCTCATGGTGGGGAAGGTACGTCTTCCTTCTAGACTATTACAGCTACAACCTCACCAACCTACCTGACAAGGGAGTCCTGCAGAACAGGGCAAGGGCAAAAATAAGCACATCTAACTCTATTCTTGGATTATAATCAAGCAGATATCATGAGAACTCACTATCATAAGAACAGCAAGGAGGAAACCAGCCCCAGATCCAATCATCTCCCATCAGGTCCCTTTTCCAACAGTGAGGATTACAATTCAACATTATATTTGGGGGGATGGGAAGATACAGAGCCAAACCATATCACCCAGTAAATAAACAATAGCTTCAGTCCTTTTTGAATATGGCCAGGTTTTCGAATATATAGATTCTTTCCTTCAGAGTAGTAGCAAAACCTTTATATGAGGCCCTCAAGGGAACTGGGGAACATCTCTATGCTGGAATAATGATATGAAGCATGCTCTAAACACTTTAAAATAGGTTTTCATCTCAGCCTTGATCTTACCCTCATTAGGACTGACTAAACTGTTCTTTTTGTATATACACAGATGGAGGGGAATAGCTTTGGGAGTCTTAGCCCAAAATCTTGGTCCTTCTAAGCACCTATAGCATATATTTCAAAAAATTTAAATGTACTATCCCGGGGATGGCCTCCAGTTTAAGACGGTTAGCAGCATGGCCCTCTTACTCCAAGAAGGCCCGCGGCTCTGGGGCTCCTATGGCTGTGCTGCACTGCTTGTAATTATTTAAACCCTGTTAAAGGTTTAGTCCTATCTTATTTTTATAATTCTCTTTATTATGGGATTGTACTCTGGGTGCAGTATCTTCCACCCAAATTGCTGTCTTAAACATAACTCTCAATCTAGAATCTCATTCTAGAAAAAAAAAGAGCCCTAGGACTTATTATGGATAGTGTTTTAGGAACTATCACAACTCTCACCCCTTGGGGAGGTTTTATTTACTATGAAATCACATTACAGGAACTTACTACCTCCCTTATCATAGTCTAAGCAAGAACTGAAGTAAGATTTTTGGTGCTAGAAAAGTCTGTAGACTCACTAGCAGGAATAATTTTTGATAATAGACAAACTCTACCTCCTATCTGAACAAGTAGGAGTCTGTGATGTCATCAATAAATCCTGTTGCACCTACATCAGTGGGTCTAAAAAAGTGGAAACTAATATCCAAGAAATTTTTTTAACAAGTTGCATGGCTACACACACTTTCCCAGAGGAACCAAGACTGGGCCAAAACCTTTACTAATTCATTTCCAAAAATCACATGGCTTCTCCCATTACTAGGACCTTTATTCCTCATCATTCTTTTAATATTTGGTCCCTGCATTTTTGATGCTCTGATTAAGTTTCTATCTTCCAGATTACAATTGTTCCACTTACAGATGACTATGCAGTCCCAATACCAGCCTGCAACAGCAACGCCCATTTACATGGGGCCTCTTGAAAGAATCTGGTCTTTCCCCATGAATAAGTTTTTCATGACTCTTCTTTTCCTTCATGAGAGAGAGCAAGAAAAGGAAAATGCAACTTATCCTTTCAATGCCTTCTTTTCAGCAGGAAGTAGCCAGACAGACTCAACACCCCTTTTCACTGTGCCATTTTCCCTTTCTTGAGAACCTAATTGGCAGCAGGTAAACTGAGCTTAGGGAAACATAAAGGATAAAAGATTTGACCAAGATATTTGTCAGGGAGAAAATGAAGAGAGCAAAGATCACCTAGTGACCATCAAACAGGCCATCCAGAGGTAAAACTCCTTATCTGAGAAATTTAGAAGTAACTAGACTTTCCTATTATCTAAATGTGACATCTGGTTCCAGGCTTCTTTCCCTTCAATTCGTAAATAACTAGAATTTCTGTACATCTCTGGAATTCATGAATGTCGAAACTCATTGTGCAACTCTTGCTAATATCAAGGCACCAAAATATCTACTACAAGTGTAATAATTATCATGACCTATGTGGCTAATAAGATCCAAATTTCCCTGCTTTAGGGTCCATAAACACCTCTAAGGAAAAATCCACAGTGACTTACTCAGTCCTCTCTTGCTGAGGCTTCTCACTTCACTCTTCTGCAGCATTCTTCTAATCTAATAAAACTTTTCTCTTCATACCTATATTGTTGTTGGTAAGTTCTTCTTGCAAATCACTTCCCTTGCTGGTGCTCTGACACTTCACCTGGAAACAACAGTATTTGGAGGACAAAAAATCACTGGCAAATTGTTTAACATTAAAAATGTGATGCCAAAGATCAGATAATTGTAGATGTGTGGTGTGATTTCTGAGGCCTCTGCTCTGTCCCATTGGTCTATATATCTGTTTTGGTACCAGTACCATACTGTTTTGGTTACTATAGCCTTGTAGTATAGTTTAAAGTCCAGTAGCATGATGCCTCCAGCTTTTTTCTTTTTGCTTAGAATTGTTTTGGCTACACAGGCTCTTTTTTGGTTCCATATGAACTTTGAAGTAGTTTTTTCCAATTCTGTGAACAAAGTTAGTGGTAGCTTGATGGTGATAGCATTGAATCTATAAATTACCTTGGGCAGTATGGCCATTTTCACGATATTGATTCTTCCTATCCATGAGCATGAAATGTTCTTCCATTTGTTTGTGTCCTCTTTTGTTTCATTGAGCAGGGGTTTGTAGTTCTCTTTGATGAGGTCCTTCACATCCCTTGTAAGTATGATTCCCAGGTATTTTATTCTCTTTGTAGTAATTGTGAATGGGAGTTCACTCATGATTTGGCTGTTTATCTATTATTGGTGTATAGGAATGTTTGTGATTTTGGCACATTGATTTCGTATCCTGAGACTTTGCTGAAGTTGCTTATCAGCTTAATTAAATTTTGGGCTGAGATGATGGGGTTTTCTGAATATACAATCATGTCTCTGCAAACAGAGATAATTTGACTTCCTCTTTTCCTAATTTAATACCCTTTCTTTCTTTCTCTTGCCTGATGGCCCTAGCCAGAACTTCCAACACTATGTTGAACAGGATTGTTGAGAGAGGGCCTCCTTGTCTTGTGCCGGTTTTCAAAGGGAATGCTTCCAGTTTTTGCCCATTCAATATGATATTGGCTGTGGGTTTGTCATAGATAGCTCTTATTATTTTGAGATAAGTCCCATCAATACCTAGCTTATTGAGAGTTTTTAGCATGAAGGGCTGTTGAATTTTATCAAAGGCCTTTTCTGCATCTATTGAGATAATCATGTGGTTTTTGATGTTGGTTCTGTTTTTGTGACAGATTACAATTATTGATTTGCGTATGTTGAACCAGCATTGCATCTCAGTGATGAAGCCACTTGATCGTGGTGGATAAGTTTTTTGATGTGCTGCTGGATTCGGTTTGCCAGGATTTTTTTTTTTTTTTAACTATGAAAGGATCAATTAATTGTGGTTCAAATACATAAACTGACATTCAAACATCTTAAACTTTAGAACAAAAGTTTAACATTTAAACAGAAGTACAGTTTTCAGGAAACATCCAGAAAGTAATTTGTCTAATCCAGAGTATTGACAAAGATTGCTTCATGATAAAGTGTGTTTCACCAGCAGTTTTTTTCTTTTTTTCATTCCTCTATAAAAATCACTGGCAGTTTGATTTAGACCAACTTCATAATGACTGTGACTCCATACCTTAGAAGAAACTGCTAAATAAATCCCTTAGGTTAATCACCAAGATTGGCCTATAATTTAGAGGGTATAAGCAAAATATATAAGTGAAAAAATTAAATTGTTCTTTAGAGATGATTTACAAGCATGTCCATTACAGTAATTTTCGCCTCTGACAGATTATTCAATTTTCAGAGTTTTACTTTTTTCTGGGGGGCGGGGGTAGGGGGGAAGGGAGGGTCTTGCTCTGTTTCCAGGCTGAAGTGCAATGACGTGTTCATGGCTCACTGCAGCCTCAACCTCCTGGGCTAAATGCAATCCTCCCACCTCCGCCTCCGGAGTAGCTGGAATTACAGGCACATGCCTCCTTGCCCAGCTAATTTTTCAATGTTTTGTAGAGGCAGGGTCCCACTATGTTGCCCAGGCTGTTCTCAAACACCTGGGCTCAAGCAATCCTCCCACCTCAGCCTCCCAAAGTGTGTGGATTACTTGTGTAAGCCACAGTGCCCGGCCTTACCTGCTTTAAAAAACTAAAAACTTAGGTTTTCTTGGAGTCTGTGCTAGTTGAATCTTGCAAATGCAAACCACATATGCTCTTTAATGAAAACCTTTCCATGCACACCACTGTTAGGAAGAGCATCATTAAATCACTGACTTCTACACCCATAAAAGGATGATTTTGAGTTTCAAGATTTTAGATTTACTAGAGATAGCATGTATTTATCAATAATGTCACACAAAAAATATTTCCAAAGTGTTCTCTGTTCAGAAATGTCACAAATGCTTCTATTTGTCAGATCATCTTGCAACAGGTCAACTAATACTTATGTACATAAAAACCTGAAAATTGGCACAGGCAGGCATTTTGAATTAGTAGATTACCCCCATGGAACAGTATTCAGAATTATTTTGTCTTGTGGGCTCTGAGGCTCTGGGAGGTAGAGGTGGACCCTGACAGTCCAGGTCATCAACATCCACATTCAGTTGATGCCTCTCAGGCACAGTCCAGTACTCGATACCATTTATCATTCTGCAAAATGTTGTCTACATCTTTCAGGTGCTGGTCATTCTTAGATTAGCTTCTTAGCTGTTCTGTTGATGAACAGAAGGCTTCAATTTTCAGGATGGATGATTCCAACATCTTCCACAAGCTTTTACTTTCACTATATTATTTGTTATAAATTTGATCTCCTTCAAAAGTGCCTTGAAGTCAACTTTGGTTGTAACGTATTTGTCTCTGACGTATTCTTCAAATTCTCTTTGTTTTTTTTTTCCTGTCATTGGAGAACTGCACCCAGAATCTTATTTTTACTACTTCCACGTGAATGTTAAGGTACTCACAGAGGTTTCATCCAGAAGTCTTCCCTCTTCTTTCTGGTAAGTGCTTCAATGTGCTCATTAAGCTTCTCTTTCTCTTCCCTTTTCAACAAAGGTCAAGATTCCCAGTGGTGATCTTTTTGATGAGTCCTTATTGAGGATTTTCGCATTGATGTTCATCAGGGATATTGGGCTAAAATTCTCTTTTTTTTGTTGTGTCTCTACCAGGCATTGGTATCAGAATGATGCTAGCCTCATAAAATGAGTTAAGGAGGATTCCCTCTTTTTCTATCAATTAAAATAGTTTCAGAAGGAATGGTACCAACTCTTCTTTTTACCTCTGGTAGAATTGGGCTGTGAATGTGTCCAGTCCTGATCTTTTTTTGGTTGGTAGGCTATTAATTATTGCCTCAACTTCAGAACCTGTTATTCGTCTATTCAGAGATTCAACTTCTTCCTGGTTTAGTCTTGGGAGGGTGTATGTGTCCAGGAGTTTATCCATTTCTTCTAGATTTTCTAGTTTATTTGCATACAGGTGTTTATAGTATTCTCTGATGGTAGTTTGTATTTCTGTGGGATCAGTGGTGATATCACGTTTATCATTTTTTATTACATCTATTTGATTCTTCTCTTTTTTCTTCTTTATTAGTCTTGCTAGCAGTCTATTTTGTTGATCTTTTCATAAAGCCAGCTGCTGGATTCATTGATTTTTTGAAGGTTTTTTTGTGTCTCTATCTCCTTCAGTTCTACTCTGATCTTAGTTATTTCTTGCCTTCTACTAGCTTTTGAATGTGTTTGCTCTTGCTTCTCTAGTTCTTTTAATTGTGATGTTAGGGTGTCAATTTTAGATCTTTCCTGCTTTCTCTTGTGTACATTTAGTGCTATAAATTTCCCTCTACACACTGCTTTAAGTGTGTCCCAGAGATTCCAGTATGTTATATCTTTGTTCTCATTGGTCAAACCTGACAAAAAGAAGCAATGGGAAAAGGATTCCCTGTTTAATAAATGGTGCTGGGAAAACCGGCTAGCCATATTTAGAAAGCTGAAACTGGGTCCCTTCCTTACACCATATACAAAAATTAACTCAAGGTGGATTAAAGACTTAAATGTAAGACCTAACACCATAAAAACCCTAGAAGAAAACCTAGGCAATACCATTCAGGACATAGGCATGGGCAAAGACTTCATGACTAAAACACAAAAAGCAATGACAACAAAAGTCAAAATAGACAAATGGGATCTAATTAAACTAAACAGCTTCTGCACAGCAAAAAAAAAAAAAAAAAAAGAAAGAAAGAAAAGAAAAGAAAAAAATACTATCTTCAGAGTGAACAGGCAACCTGCAGAACGGGAGAAAATCTTTGCAATCTACCCATCTGACAAAGGGCTAATATCCAGAATCTACAAAGAACTTATACAAATTTACAAGAAAAAATCAAACAACCCTATCAAAAAGTGGGCGAAGGATACGAACAGACACTTCTCAAAGGAAGACGTTTATGCAGCCAACAGACATGTGAAAAAATGCTCATTACCACTGGTCATCAGATAAATGCAAATCAAAACCATAATGAGATACCATCTCACACCAGTTAGAATCACAATCATTAACAAGTCAGAAAACAACAGATGTTGGAGAGGATGTGAAGAAATAGGAATGCTTTTACACTGTTGGTGGGAGTGTAAATTTGTTCAACCATTGTGGAAGACAGTGCAAAGTTTCCTCAAGGATCTAGAACTAGAAATACTATTTGACCCAGTGATCCCATTACTGGGTATATACCCAAGGGATTATAAATCATGCATACTATAAAGACACATGCACATGTATGTTTATTGCATCACTATTCACAATAGCAAAAACTTGGAACCAACCCAAATGTCCATCAGTGATAGACTGGATTAAGAAATTGTGGCACATATACACCATGGAATACTATGCAGCCATAACAAAAGATGAGTTCATGTCCTTTGCAGGGACATGGATGAAGCTGGAAACCATCATTCTAAGCAAACTATCACAAGGACAGAAAACCAACACTGCATGTTCTCACTCATAGATGGGAGTTGAACCACAAGAACACATGGACAGTGCAGGGAACATCACACACCAAGACCTGTCGTGGGGTGGGGTGCTGGGGGAGGGATATCTTTAAGAGAATACCTAATGTAAATGACGAGTTAATGGGTGCAGCAAACCAACATGGTACATGTATACCTATGTATCAAACCTGCTCATTGTGCACATGTACCTTAGAACTTAAGGTATAAAAAAAAGTATGATGCATGTGGAGGTAATACAAGTTGGGACAAACAAGAGACTCTCTAGCAAAAGAAAAAAATAATTCAAACAAAATAATATCAGAAATGTGATGTTCATAAGAAACTTTGAAGAGCTTGAAATATATCACTGAGATCTAAAAAGTAATTCATATATGTAGGGCTATGTACATGATGAGGAAAGACTTGAGAAGGCAACGGGCTTTCAGATATGACCATGAGCTTCTGAACAAGTAGTCAGTGAAAGTTAATGAAGAGTCCTAAAGTGCTGGAGCATGAAAGAATGCCCCAACACACACACACACACACACACACACACACACACACACACACACACTCCTAGACATCTTTTGGAAGATTTGGGGAGGCTTATTGACTTAAGATATTTAAGAAAATTTTTGTTCAATAATGATTTAACCACTAAGCTAACACTTGTCAAGCAAAAAATTTCATGGTTTCATATTGAAAAAAGATTACAGAATTACTCCAAAAAGTCAATAAAAAAGCAATAGCCAAATCAACAACAAACTACCATGAACAAAATCTAGTGGGGAAAGCGAGTTGGATTTTTATATAGACCTCATTATATTAGAAATTAGATTAGATATAATATCTAGTTATCAAGCAACAGTTGATAACCAACAGTTACGAAATATGCAAAGAAATAAGAAAGTATAACTAATACCTAAAGAATAAAAGCCGTAAATACAAAACATTGTTGAAGAAACCCCCAAGATTTTGGACTTTTTAGTAAAAAGATTTTAATTGATAATTACAAAGTTTTTTTAAAAATCCAAGGAAACCACCTATAAGTAATGAAAATATGAAAATGACTTCTCATCAAGTACACAACATCAAAATGGAGAGAATTACATATAAAAAGTAAAAATATAAATGCTGGAGTATCTTCAAAATGATAAAGGCCATTAACCAAAAAAATTCTGCTGCTAATATATCACATTTAATCATAAAATATGAAAAGTTTTTCCCTAAAATCAGAAAAAAAGACAAATACGTCCACCCTTCTAATTTCTACAGCACTGTAGTGAAAATTATAGACAAGGCAAATATTCAAGAAAAATAAATTAAAGGTATCCAGATTAGGAATAGTGAATACACACACAAAAGCTGCATATCTACAAATAACAATGAAAATTCTGAAAATGAATTTAAGAAAACATTTTCATTTTTATAATCAAATAGAATAAAATATGTAGAATCTTTTAGAGTAAAAATATTAAAGATTTGTACACAAACTATTCAAGTTTGAATATTAATGACAAGCCATTAATAACCAGAATATATAAGGAGGTCAAACAACTCAATAGCAATTAATTAGAATCATCATCACCATCCAATTTAAAAAGTATAAATGATCCGAATAGACATAGCTCAAAAGAAGGCATACGAATGGCCAAAAAGTATGTGAAAAAATGTTCAACATCACTAATTATCAGGGAAATGCAAATTAAAACTACAAAGAATATTATATTATTCCTATTAAAAAGTATTTTGTCCACAAGACAAAAAATAATGGATGTTAATTAGGATGCAGAGAAAAGAGAATGCTTGTATACTGTGAGAAAGTAAATTAGTACAGGCGATATGGAAAGCAATACGGAGATTCCTCTAAAAGCTAGAAATAGAATTACCATATAATCTGGCAATCCCACTGCTGGATATGAATGCAAAATAAAGAAAATCAGCATATCGAAGACATATCTGCATTTCCATCTATTGTAGCCCTGTTCACAATAGCTAAAATATAGAATCAACTTAATTATCCATCAGTGCATGAATGGACAAAAAAAAAGGTGGTACATATATACAGTAGAATGCTATTCAGCCATAAAAAAAGAATAAAATCCTGACATTTGCAACAGTATAAATGGAATTGGAGAACACTGTTAACTGAAATAAGCCAAGGCCAGACAGGTAAATATTGCATGTTTTCACTCAGATGTGGGAGTTAAAAAAATTTATCTCATGAAAGTGGAAAGTAGAATGATGGTTACCAGAGTATCAGAAGGGTAATGGGAGGCAGTGAGGGGAAGAGAGGATGGTTACTGGGTACCAAAAATAAGTTAGTAGAAATAAGACCTAGTGTTCAGTAGCACCGTGGTGTGATTATAGTTAACGATAATTTATTGTATATTTCAAAAAGAACTAGAGGAGTAGATTGGGAATGCTCCAGATATAAAGAAATAATGTGTTTGAGGTGATGGATATCCTACTTGCCCTGATTTGATCAGAACACACCATATTCTTGTATCAAAATAACACATGTATCCCATAAAAGTGTACAACTAATATGTACGTAAAACATTTTTTAAAAGAACAGCAATTCCACTACTGGGTATATACCCAAAGGAATATAAATCATTCTGTTATAAAGACACATGCATGTAAACGTTCATTGCAGCACTATACACAATGGCAAACACATGGAATCAACATAAATGCCTATCAATAATTGACTGGATAAAGAAAATGCAGTACATATACACCATGAAATACCATGCACCCATAAACAAGAATGAAATCATGTCCTTAGCAGGAGCTTGGATGGGGCTGGAGGCCATGATTCTTAGCAACCAAAGGAACAGAAAACCAAATACTGCATGTTCTCACTTATAAGTGGGAGCTAAATGATGAGAACACATGGACACAGAGAGAGAAACAATACACACTGGAACCTTTCGGAGGGTGAGGATCAGGAAAAATAAATAATGGGTACTAGCCTTAATACCTAGAAAGGAAACAATCTGTACAGCAAACTCCCATGACACAAGTCTACCTATGTAACAAACCTGCACTTGCACTTCTGAACTTAAAAGTTATATTTAAAAAAGCACATAATGCTTCTATAAAGAGGCATGCTTTAGATTGAGCTTTTAAACACATGTATTTAAATCCATCATAATAAGGACTAATGCAAAAAGAAAATAAACATGTTGTATTAAATGAAAAAAAAGGGCTACAAGACATAATGGGAAGTAATTTAAGAAAACCAGAATAAGCGGAAAAACATCCTTTGTTTGTGGATAGAGACTTAACTTTGTTAAGATGGCAATGCCACTACTTCTCAGAATTATCCACAGATTAAACACAATCCCTATCAAAATCCCAATGACTTCTTTGCAGACCTGGCAAGCTGTTACTAAAAGACTTATATAAATGTAAGGGGCCTAGTATACCCAAAGTAATCTGATCCTAAAGGACATATAGATGCCTAGTATACCCAAAGCAATCTTAGACAAATAAATTTGGAGAGGCCATACTTGTCAGTTTCAAAACACACAACAAAGTTGCAGTAATCAGGACAGTGAGGCACTGGCACAAGAGTCAACATAGACATCGATAATGTATTTAAGAGTTTATAACTAAATGCTTATATTTATTATATTAATAATTCATTTTTGACTAGATACCAAGAAAATTTGATGGAGAACGGGGTAGTCATTTTAATAAATGGCACTAGAATATGGGGTTATCCACATGCAAGTCAAAGAAGTTGTATTCTTACCCCATACCATATAGAAAATTATCTCTGAATGGGTCATATACCTAAACATAGAAACAAAAACTGTAAAACTGTAAGAATAAAATTAAGTAAATCTTTGTAATACTGGATTAGGTAGTGGCTTATTTTACATAGTATCAAAAGTATAAGCAATAAAAGAAAAAAATGGACACAATTAACTTTATCAAAATTAAAAACGTTTGTGCTTCAGGTGTGCTACCAGGAAAGTGAAACAACCCACTGAATGGGAAAATATTTGCAAAATGTATTGCCACCTAACATAAAATTACAATTCAGCTTTAACAATTTTAAAAATGGAATTTTAATAGACATTTAATCAATGAAAATATATAAATGTTCAATAAGCACATGAAGAGATCTTTACTTTTGTCTTATTACTCATTAGTGAAATACAAATTAAAGGTGCAATGTTATACTACCTTGCACTCACTAGTATGTTTAAAAGTAAAAAGATTGATACCAAGAACTACTGGTAAGGTTGTAGAAAATTTGGAACCCTCATATATTGCTGATGGGATCATAAAATGATGCACCTGCTTTGGAAAACAATTTGGCAGGTTCTCAAATGGTTAAACATAGAGTTACCAAACAACCCATCACTTTCATTCTTATGCATATATCCAAGACAAATGAAAATATATGTCCCCATAAAAAATGTATACATGACTATTTATAGCAGAATTATTATTAATAACAAAATACAAAAACAACCAAAGTGTCTACAACATGGGTGAACCTCGAACACATTAGGCTTAGTACAAAGACTCTACCATAAAATGATACATACATATCATATAGTTTTATTTATGGGAGATATCCAGAATAGGAAAATCCATAGAGATAGAAAGTAGGTTATTGGCTGCCTGAGGTTGGGAGAGAAAATGGAGAGTGACTACTGATGGGTACAAAGGTTTTTTTGGATGATAAATTGTTCTAAAATTAGATAGTAGTGATGATCATCCAACTTGGTAAACATATATAAAATCGCTGAATTATAGACTTTGAAAGAGTGAATTTTATGATGTGTGAATTATATCTTGATAAAGTTGTTATTTTCTAAAAGTAGAAAAAAGGAGAAGCATTTATCTGAATGATGACAAGAATGGAAGAATAGCTGTGCAGTTTGGATTGCTGCTGTTTTACTGTGCTCTCACAAATTCCAAATACAAATGTTGGTGAGACTTGTTGCATAATGGATTAAGGATATCCTGTGTATAAATAATTTCCTGTGATTCATAATTTCTAACTGAATTTGTCAAGTGGGAGGCTTTAGCAAGTATTGGAAAGAAAGAAGAATGTAGAAATCAATACATCTATTTTCCTACTTTTCTATCTTAAATGTCATTTCTTCGAGTAAGCCAGATTGCCACCCCTCAGTGATGGACAGATGTATTGTACTTAACCTGCCATTAGGTAGTTGGATATTCTTTCTGAGTAATGGCGCCATGTTGAGTGTTTAGCTTACTGTTGGCTTCTGCTCATTCTGGGCATTCAGTAGAAGGATAATCATATGAGCATACCATGTACCCAATGATGCAGAAGAAGCTGGCCTAATGGAATTTGACAGGCCAGCTGAAGGGTCAGTCACAGTGCCAAATGGCAAACAATACCCAGTGAGACTGGTAATTTTTTCTTCAATTTTTTTTCATTAATTAAAAATCAAAGATACTGTTTTTACCATAGGCGGGATTACATAGATAAGAGAACGAAGATATAAATGTTAAAATGACCCATCCTACCATTATACCAAATAATGTACTTGGAGATTTTTGGTTTCTTGTCTCTGCAACTTTGGTCTGCAATTCTGCAGGTTTTAGTTTTCAAACAAGAATGTTTCTATCAGGGAAACAATAGCAATCTTATTAAAAGAAGTAGATTTGATACTTTTTTGGGGATATTTTGGTATTCTTGAGCCTTTATATTCGAATACTCTTCCGGTCATGATAGATATAGGTATAGATATAGAGATAGACATAGATGGAGATGGACATGTATTATCAAGGAAAGTTTTAGTTGCCACTATACAGTACTTGGAAGTAAGACAGTGTTTGGAGCTCAGGCGATTTCTTGTACCTCTTCATGAGTTCATGTCCTACATTAAAGATCACTGAAATATTTGAGTAATGTAATAAATGTAGTACTACTAATATGTCAGATGTTTTAAGAATAAAGTTGTACTATCAGGTAAAATAACAAAATAAATAAGAGCTAATATTCCAACTGAAGACAACAGAAAAATGATATAGGTGGTTAAACAGGAAACAATAAATGCAAATCTGTGTTCTGTTTCAAAAATGAGTTCTGTAGCAGCAATATATACATTTCTTTTCCCCTTTTCCTTTCCTCCACTACTTTGAATGAAGAGTATTGATTAGGTTGATTTAACATTTAGTTCATAGGTCATCGATATATCATGAGCAGCCACAGCAGATGGTTATTTCACCTGGAAAAATTAAACTCTAAATGGATATGTCTTTGAGATACTTCCTGGGTAGAAGGAAAGAGACCATTTCTTTATTCAAGTGGAGATGTCTCATATTAGGCAGAAATATGAAGGCTTTTTTTTTGAGTCAAACCTGCCAAAAAATTAAAATGCACACAAGGTAGAACAAGAGGTGTAGAGTGCCTTTCCTGAACCTGCATGGCCAAGAATTTTTTCTTTGCCAATCGTGTGTCATAGTCTTTACTGCAGCTAGGCTGACTGCAATAGCGATATTTCCCAGGTGGCCTCAACAGCTGACTTCCAGCTAGATTTTACTCATGGGAAGAACCAACGGAAGAATGGAATGCAATATTTTCCCCTGTATATGTGGGCAGCATCTGTGTCAGTGACTGAATCTCCTCCATAAAACTAGCTCTCACCAGACTCCCAACCTTACAGTTTCTGCTGAGTAATGCCAGCCATTGTGCTCCAATTCTAATAGCCCTTCCCACTGGCTTTCCTTCCTAGCTTTAGAGGTGGTTATACGTTGTTAATTTCTGAGTTGTCTTACTGTTTCCTGCTCAGATCCTAAGGTCTCTTATAAGTTGTATATGCAAAATGCCTCTGGTAAAATTTCCTTAAATATTAAATGTATCTCTCTTTTTTAATTAGATATTATCCATATGGTACCCCTTATATCCCATATACCTAGTAAAAACACTTGATGCACAAATTTTAATTATTTATAAAATGACACGTATGTGACCAAGATATTATTCACTTATAAAATCTACATTAAAGTAGATATATTAAAATTGCCTTACAATAATGGAGCTAGTGTAAGATTTATACTTTTCATGTTTTTTTGAGAAAAAAATATGCTGTGAATCAGGCAGGCTTTTAAATGCAGATTAAAATAAGCAGTATTCAAGTCTCCACGAATATTGTCTTTTGGAATCTCATGTAGATTTTTCAAATCTGCAATCCTAATACTTGTCATGCAAATGATTTGTGATCTGGAACTGGCCACCTCTTCAATCAGTCATTTAGTGATGAAATTACAGCCTCTGTACCCTTTTGTCCTTTCTACTACTTCCGTGGACCTCAACAAAGTATATATCGATATGCAGTATAATTTGAATTGGAACATGCTTTTGTGGGGAGCTATTGTAATACATTGTGTAGCACACAGTTTTGTCTGGGGAATATTGGACTGTGCTTTGTACAGGAAGCGGTATTAAAACTGAATACTGGCCAGGCATGGTGGCTCACGCCTGTAATCCCAGCACTTTGGGAGGCCGAGGTGGGCGGATCACAAGGTCGGGAGATCGAGACCATCCTGGCTAACATGGTAAAAACCCCATCTCTACTAAAAATACCAAAAATTAGCCGGGCGTGGTGGCGGGTGCCTGTAGTTCCAGCTACTCGGGAGGCTGAGACAGGAAGATTGCTTGAACCTGGGAGGTGGAGGTTGCAGTGAGCCGAGATCGTGCCATTGCACTCCCGCTTGGGCGACAGAGCAAGACTCCATCTCAACGAAACAAAGAAGCCCTGAATACTGAATGCAGTATATTTGTTAATGATTTGAACTAATTAATATACATTAAATAAGACTTGCTTCTTTCTTTCAATTTTCCAGTTATTTGGATTGCATGCATTTGTGAATGTGACCTTTTCTGATGTTTTTCAAATTCTGAAGTCATGCTCTTGGTTGAGGTTAAAAAAAGTGCATTTGTTTTCTTTAATAATATAAAATTATTCCTGATGCAATTTTTTATTTCCATGACTGGTACCTCATAATGGAGGGAATGATTAAAATTTATTTTAAGAAATGGCTTTGAACTCAAGTTCATGTCATAGACTTTCATAATCAGAAGCCATAAATAGATTTGCAAAATGCCATTGTATCTCTTAACAAATAACAACCAATTCTACTCACAGCTGAATTCCACAATGATTTAGATGATTCTGTTTATTTCAGCTAGTCTTTAAGATATATGTCATTACTCAAGCTTCATCCTCAGTGCTATGAAGTAAAGTAAAATGATGTCATTTTGCTTATCTTAGTTAATAATGTCCTCGCTTCCCAAATCATTATAACAAGGAATAAACATGAAAAACGTTATATCTGAAAAATCTTTTTGGCATTTATTTCTGAATTATTCTCCCTTTGGAGCTCCATATTCCTTGTTGTTTTATTCACTGTAACCTCTAAACCATTTTCTACCAAATATCTGGCCCTATCTAGTAAAGGTACTCCGTTGTGTACTGAATTCCCTTCTCTCTGCATCAATATGGTTGCTGATTATATATCTATATATTTAACTAGCTTTATCATTACAGGGAAATAAAAAAAAATGCCTGAGGTGTTATTAAACAGCATTTGCTCAAGCAAGGTTCACATATAAAAATTTGTGCAAATAAGTATGTACTCAGTACTACAAAACTCTAAATGTATTCTAGGTAAGCTATTCTGGTATTTGGTATTAGAGTTTAAAATTGAAAGCTAGCTGAAAACATCACAGAGACATTTTATTATAAATTATAACATGTTTCTATAGGATAAATTTCAGTCAATTATATTTAATTGTTGGAACTACAGTATCATCAAATCAGAATCTAACACCTTTGTTGCTGAAATTCAGCAGAGGCAGAAAGGCCTGGCTGTGAATTTTGAAACTTCTGCTGAAATTCAGCAGAGGCAGAAAGGCCTGGCTGTGAATTTTGAAACTTATGCTTCTTTTATATCATGGATTCTGTCATCTGAGTTATACTTCCACTCAAATCCTGTCCTTGTTCAAACATTCTGGTATTAGAAAATGGAAAAAGTAAATCAGATGAAATGGGATACAGTGTCCATATAAATCTAAAAACTTAGAACAGGATAAATTACTGTTAATTTAAGGCAGAATATTTTTCCTCAAATATAAATGCAATTATGCAATAATTATTGGAATGAATTAGAAATTCATATCTTTAAAGTTAAAATGATGCATAACTTTACTATTCTAAATCAATAAAGCATAACTTGTGTAAATCATTGCTAATATATGCCTAAATTATGCAAATTAATAGGTTTAAAATTAATTTAATACATTATACAAATTAATAGATTTAAAATTAATTTAATACAAATCAGTATTAAATTAATATTACTCAATAACTACTAAAATAAATAATTAGTCTGACCAAATAAAATGGTGATGCAATTAGGAAGATGTTTTACAAAGAATAAAAATACCAATTTGATTTTGGGTGATCAGAAATAAAAATTTATTCAGGATATAGCTTTTTTTCCTGCTATAGAGAACCCTCTTATTCTCTAGATTTACATCAAATTGTCAAAAATAAGGAAATTCACAAATGCATAGAAATTAACACATTTTATATGTGTATTAAACTGTGCTAAATCTTCCATGTATTACAATTAGGTATTATTTACAAGAATACCTCATTCAGGCCGGGAGCAGTGGCTCATGCCTGTAATCCCAGCACTTTGGGAGGCCGAAGTGGGCGGATCACGAGGTCAGGAGGTCGAGACCATCCTGGCTAATGTGGTGAAACCCCGTCTCTACTAAAAATACAAAAAATTAGCCAGGCATGGTGGCGGGTGCCTGTAGTCACCGCTACTTGGGAGGCTGAGGCAGGAGAATGGCGTGAACCCGGGAGGCAGAGCTTCCAGTGAGCCGAGATTGCACCACTGCACTCCAGCCTGGGAGACAGCAAGACTCTGTCTCAAAAAAAAAAAAAAAAAAAGAATACTTCATTTAGGATAATTGCAAAAAAAGTTAAGCACACTTGACGAAATAAGAGGAAAATACTAGGGTAGGTGTAGGTAATACATTCTTTAATTTAAAAAGATTATATATACATATGATATATATACATATTTATATTTATATGAAGACAAAGATAGCGGCTTGAACATCCATTACTGTGATCCTGCCTTAATGTCTATAAATAAGATGACTTTTAATACATTGAGTCTGTGTTGAGTTTTACTTTTCATGGTCACATAGTTCATATATATATATATATATAGAGAGAGAGAGAGAGAGAGTTCATATATATATATATACACATACACACACACACACATATGGCTTTGACCTGTGAAATATACACTATTCAAGATAGTGAAAAATTAGTGGAATATCTGCTCTGAAAACTTGCTTTAATGTAGGGGAACCAGGCAATAACAAAATAAAAATATAAATATATAATATGTCCTGTAGTTACATGTGTTATGAATAAAATAAAACAGACTGTGGAGAGTAGAGAACACTGGGGCCCAGAAGAGGAGTTGCTATTTTATGGTAGAGGAAAGCTCTCTTTAAATGTCAACAGGAAGCTAAAGTAAATGAAGAACCACACTATGTGGATAACCAGGATAAGAATACTCCAGTCAGAAAGGGTAGCAAATTCGTAAGTTCTGAAATTGGAGATTACTTAGAGTTGCAATAAACACCATGGAGGCCATTATGGGCCTATCACAATAAATGAAGAGAAAGATAGTGGCTTGAACATCAATTATTGTGATCCTGCCTTAATGTCTATAAACAAGATGACTGTTAATACATTGAGCCTGTGTTGAGCTTTGCTTTTTATGATCACATAGTTCAGGATGTATATCTTCATTGGGAGCATCTATCATATCAACTTGCTGTCCATTGATCTTGAAAGATGAAGCATTGTTTTTGGGTGTCTAATTTTGTTTTGAAGTTGATTAAACAAATTAGCAAAATTTTGGTAAATAATTCTAATAGAAAAAATATAATTTAAAAATAATTTTAAAAGGATAAAAGAATAAAGCATATGCATATAACTTTATATTGAGAGATGAAATAGGAATACAAACTCAATTACATATCATTGGTGGTAGCACAAATGTTTATTATGTATTTAGAATTGTTTATCATTTAACATCAATTATAAAATGGCAGTTTACAGTCATCAACAAATCTTGTTTATTAACTAGGAAAAGCTATATTTTATTACAAATGAAAAAATAACAAATAAATATAAAGTAATTTTAATATTTTTCATTCTATTTTGATGACTCTGTAACAGGACTTAACTCTAGATTTATAATGCATGTTTGAAAGGAATAGAATATATCACAGATCAATATTTTGCTTTCTTTGAACTATTCTTTCATACGATCTGGAAGGAATTAATTAAAACATATTATTGCTTATGTGTACATACACATAAGCAGACAAACACTCTTAATCAACCTAGAAGCTGTATGGGATAATGGAAAGAATATAGGTCTGTGGTTAGGCTTATCTTTAACTCCTGTCTCCAGCAGTAAAATGTATACATGCTCTGGGAATTTGCTTAATTTGAACACTGTTTGAAGAATGGGGATATTAAATATTTATGACAATACCCCTCATGAAAAGATGATTTAAATATTAGTCATAACACATATAAAATAAGCATATACACTTTTAATTAACATTAGTAGTATTTTTATTGTGTACTTTTTATGCCATATTAAATAAGTCACATACATAGTCAAATACAAGGTAAACAAATGCAAAGCATGTAATCAAAACCCTGTAGGGAAACCTCATCATCTCTGAATATTATGGAAGTAATTTCTGTCATGTTTTATTAGTTTTATAGACAATGATTTAGAGGATTTCTTGGTTTTCTTATTACTGAATATTAAAGGATAAGAAATGTAGCATATTCTTTGATTCCATGTTGAACAGATTCTTCAGCACTATCGTGTCAAAAATTGTTCAATAGGTGATAAATGGACAAATAAATTCAAATAGCAATAAACAAATCTGGATAAGTTCACCTGAGATATATGTCAAATATCCCTAAAGTAACATTAAATGCTTAACTTATGCAATACACATCATTGTCACCTAAATATTAAAATCATTTATTTTCTCTTTTTTCCATTCTACTTAGTGGGAAGTGGCTAGCAATATAACAAATGTCTCAAACTTAGAGCTCTACTTTGATTGTTCTAAATCATTTTATAAATTCAGTTTTAAATACACTGAGGCCAAAAAAGAGCAATAAATATGCTTGAGTTTTTGAAATAAAAAATAAAAAGCTTTTTTTTGAGTTACTGCCATGTTGCATACCATAACAATGTATTAGTAATTAATTCAATTTATATAACATGTTTTTCTAATGATCTTTCTTACATATTATTAAATGTTTATTTTATATTTAAATTATTTCAAGGTGAGGAAAACTAAACAGGAATTAAAAGACTGCTCTCTCAATCTCAAGAGCAAATTAACAGTATATTATTAGTTTGCTTTTTGGAATAAATAGCAGATTTGAAAATTGTTTTTAAGTTTTCTTATACTCTCTGACACTATCTTTTGCTCTTTCTTTTAATCTCCTTGCACACACACACACCACACACACATTACACATGCACACACTACATACACATACAATTTTGGTTACTAAGCCCTGAACAACTATGAATAGTTTGTGTTCTCTGTGGTAATCAATGGTCTCTGGAGATCTGAAAGTTGGGATACGTGTATGAATAAGATACCAGGTGGCAAATACTACACTAAGTATTTAGCATGTGCTTAGAGTGAAATTCACCATTTAAAGTAATGGTGTCTGCCTTAAAAAGGATCATATAAAACATCAGGAAACATTATTTATTGCTCATTACTTTTTTCTGTAAAATGAATTATGATAAATTCTTTAAAAGTCAGTGATATGTGTTATGTACTTTTGCATACTTTTGTACTTAGAACTGTATCTTTTTCAAAGTAGTAGCAAAAATACATATCAATTCCTAGGCAATGGCCAATGACCTAATCACTTAATCAGCATTTAAAAAGAAATAGTCGAAAGGAGTGTAGATACAAAGGTCTGGGTAGAGGTATGTCAATGAACATACGGTAATGAGCATGCAGTGATAAGATTTTTATCACATAAATAAGAATCCACCATGAAAAAGTACTAAATAGCTGAATAGGCTAAAAAACTTAGTCAGTTGATCATTCACCAAAGAGCTGGTAAAAGGGACACAATAGTACAGAGTAGCCATGGTGATAGATGAAGGATATGGATGGGACCAACAGCGTAGTCTCACTTACCACAGTCAGCTTTGTTACTGCTATCCTTGAATGTCCAACCTGTAAGCAAAAAAGTCTAATGCTGAACCTCCAGTATGGCATTATTCCTTGAGAAGTTAAAAAGCCATTCGATTACAAATCAAGTACATTGGGACCCTTTCTTCTTTCAGAGTCCACAGTTTGTTTTTTGTTTTGTTTTGTTTTGTTTCTATTTTGTTTTTCTTTTCGTTTTGCTTTGTTTTTTTTGTACAGCGATAGATACCTATTATGCACATGGAGTTGCCTTCCCCGTAGGTAGAGCCTCAGTCAAAAACTGTCTGGAGGTTTGCAACATTCCTTACCAACAGACATAACCCCTCTTCCCCCACCAAACAACAAAACAAAACAAAAAAAACCCAAAAACTTCCAGTGATATAAAATTTCACAGCAAAGAAGGTGTAAAATTGAACCCAATACCAAAGAATTGTATCCACACATCCTAGAGCACTGAAACTGCCTCCTAGGCTCAGCTGAAACACAAGAATAGAGAAACACTCTTTAAAAATAAGGCATTATACATCAGATAGAGTATACTCATTAAAGCAATAACCTCTGTATGTTGTTGTGCCCCCAAAAGAGGAGTGAATGGGTCCAAAAACCAAGAGAGGTAACCTGAGAGGCAGAGGTTCTGGTGAGCCAAGATGGCACCACTGCACTCCAGCCCAAGTGACAGAGTGAGACTCCAAGGGGGTGAAGGGGTAGGGGATAGGATTGACTTTATATACCATCTCACTCACTGGGATCTCAATGGTTTCTGTCCATGCAAATCTGGTTCCTCAGGTTTAGAAGTCCTGGTCCCTAAAGTGAGAACACTGGCCTGAGAACACAGCAAGTGTTCCATTATATTACAAAGTTATGATTGCCACCATGACACTTTAATTTCTTCTGTTCAGGGAACAACAGGAGAAAGGAGGAGTCTCAGCCATGACAGGTTTGTAATTCATATCAGAAGCTGGATATAGGGCTGCTTTTACACAAAGCAGTTGGGATATTTACAGAACACAGTTGATCCACTTCGGTACCTCTTGGTACTCTCTTGCTTTGTTATAAACTTGCATGCCTGTGTGCAGCAACCCAAGCTGAGAAGAGTGCATTCTCGAGGGCTTATACCCTTCAGAATGAAGGTTGAATCTAAAATGTGTCTCTTATTAATAGTATATAGTTGGATCATGATTTGTGTGTGTGTGTGTGTGTGTGTGTTTCTTTAATCTCAGTTTTTTTATTGGAATGACTAATCCATTTATAATTCATACAATTATTAATAATGTGGGATTCATATCTATCAAGTTCCTAGTTGTTTCCTATATGTCTTAGGTCATTAAGTTTCTCTATTCCTGTCTTCTATTAAATAGATATTTTCTAATGTTCATTTTAATTCACCAGATGTTTCCTTTTACTATATTTTAGGTTATTTTCTTATTGGTTTCCTTGAGGATTATAATTAGCATGTTAGCTATAATCATATAGTTCAGATTTATAGCAATTTATCTTACATACAATATAAAATATCAAGTTAGCTCAATTTCTTCTCTCCTCCTTTGTACTAGTGATGGTACAATTTTATGACTATTGCTGTACACAGGTCTATGCATGCTTTAAACTATATTCTTTGTCATGTGTGCCCATGATAGACTCAACTTATTTAGCTTATTGAACAGCTAGTAATCAAACAGAGAATTCTACAAATATCGTGAACCAGTAAGACATACGAATTATAAAGAAGAAGAAGAGTTACAAACTAAAACTACATTTATACTGTTTTTTAAATTATTATTTTTACCTATGTAGTTACCTTTTCCATATACTTTCTCTTTATTTCTTGGCATAGATTCAAGTCATTCAGCAGTGTTTCTTCATTTGGCCATATGATATTTCTGTACTATTTTTTACAGAGTAGGGCTACTAGCTATGAATTCTCTCAGGCTTTCTTTTTAATTAATTCAAGAATGTCTATATTTTTCCTTTATTTTAGAAACATAGTTTTGCTGGCTAGATAATTATTGATTGACAGTCTTTTTTTCCCCAACACTTTAATATGTCATTTCACCACTTTATGGCTCTAGTGCTTCTGATGATTAGTCAGCTGTTGAACTTACTGAAGCTCCCTTGTATATTTTGAGTCATTTTTCACTTGCCACTTTAAAAATTATCTGTTTTGTACTATGCTCACTCCTGGATGTGGGTTAAATCACACCCCAAACCTCAGTATCACACAATATACTTTTGTAACAAACATGTGCGTGTAGCCCCTGAATCTAACATAAAAGTTGGAAAAAAATATCTTTTTGGCTTTCAACAGTTTGACTACGACGTTTCTAGATGTTTATGTTTAAACTCTTTGAGTTATCTCCTTGGGAGTTTTTTGAGCCTTTTTAGTGTATCCATTAATGTGTTGTTGTTTTTTTTAAACACTCTTGGAAAATGAAGATTAAGGCAGAGTTTAGACTTTCCAAAGTCACAGATATTATTCCTGCCACTTTTTGTCTGTCTTTTCTTGTGACACTCTCAACACATGTCAATAAGCGTGATGATGCCCTGGAGGCTACTGGAGCTCTGTTTATTGTTCTTTCTCTTTTTTTTTAAAGACTAAATAACCTCAATTGGTGTATCTTTGAATTTTATGATTTGTTCTCTTGCCAGATGAAAATGTTGTACCTCTGTTTCATTTCAGTTATTATACTTTTCAAATTTAGCATTTACATATGGTTCTTTTTTAAAAATTATATTTCTTTATATTGTCATTGTAAACATCATTCTATATTTTCTTTTAATTCTTTGTGCATAATTTTCTTTAGTTCTTCGAACATATTTTCAATCTTTTTTTTTTGGTAGCAGGGAGTCTTTCTGGTAAAGACCAGAAAATCTACTAGACACATTCTAAAAGAGTTGTAAAACTGAAAAATATATTTTAATAGCTAATTTAAAAACTTTTGTCTAGTAAGTTCAACATCTGGGCTTCATCGTTGCAGTTTCTATTGACTGTTTTGCTTGGCTTTTCTTCTGTGTGTGGTTCATACTTTCCTGTTTCTTTTTGTACCTCATTTTTTAACAGTCACACATATTAAATAATACAGCATGGAAATACAACCATGGAAATCAATTTTATCCCTTGTCTTCAGAGTTGTGTTATTGCTGCTATTATTATTGTTCTTTGTTCATTTAATGACTTTCCTGAACTAATTCTTCAAAATATTGATATAGTTTGGATGTGTGTACTTGCCCAAATCACATATTGAAATGTAATCCCAATGTTGGAGGTGGAGCCTGGTGGGAGGTGACTAAATCATGCAGGTGGAATTCTCATGAGTGGTGATATAATTTGCCTCTGTGTCCCAACCCAAATCTCACATTGTAGCTCCCATAGTTCCCACCACCATCCTCCAGACACCAGAATGGTAGATCCACCAACAGCTTGAACCCTGTGCCTGGAAAAACCACTGACACTGAGCACCAGTCAGTGAAAGCAGCCAGGAGGGAGGTTGCAACCTGCAGAGCCACAGGGGCAGAGCTGCCCAAGTTCAGGGTAACCCACCTCTTGCATCAGCATGACCTGGAAGTGAGACATGGAGTCAAAGGAGATCATTTTGGAGCTTTAAGATTTGACTGCGCTGCTGGATTTTAGACTTGTGTGGACCCTGTAGCCTCTGTGTTTAGGCTAATTTAGGGCTGTATCTACCCAATGCTTGTACCTTCATTGTATCTAGAAAGTAATTAACTTGCTTTTGATTTTACAGGCTCATGGGTGAAAAGGACTTGCTTTGTTTAGGATGAGACTTTGGATTGTGGACTTTTGAGTTAATACTGAAATGAGTTAAGACTTTGGGGGACTGTTGGGAAGGCATGATTGATTTTGAAGTGTGAAGACATGAGATTCGGAAGGGGCCATGGTCAGAATGATATGGTTTGGCTTTGTGTGTCCACCCAAATTACATCTTGTAGCTCCCATAATTCCCACATGTTGTAGGAGGGACCCGGTGGGAGATAATTGAATCATGGGGCAGTTCTTTCCCATGCTGTTCTCCTGGTAGTGAATAAGTCTCAGGAGATCTGATGTTTTAAAAACAAGAGTTTGGGTCTGGTGTGGTGGCTCACACCTGTAATCCCAACACTTTGGGAGACTGAGGCTGGTGAATCACTTGACATCAGGAGTTTGAGACCAGCCTGCCAACATGGTGAAACCCCTCTCCACTAAAAATACAAAATTAGCCTGGTGCAGTGGCACACGCCTCTAATCCCAGGTACTCAGGAGGCTGAGACAGGAGAATCACTTGAACCTGGGGGACAGAGTTTGCAGTGAGCCAAGGTCGTGCTACTGAACTCCAGCCAGTCTTGAACTCCAGTCTCGTGCTGTCTCAAGACAAAAAACAAAAAGAAAAACAAAACAAACAAAAATGGGAGTTTGCCTGCACAAGCTCTGTATCTCTTTGCCTGCCACCATCCACTTAAGATGTGACTTGCTCTCCTTGCCTTCTGCCATGATTGTGATGCCTCCCCAGCCATGTGGAACTATAAGTCCATTAAACACTTTTTCCTGTATAAATTACCTAGTCTCGGGTACGTCTTCATCAGCAGCATGAAAACAGACTAATACAAATGGTTTAGCACCAGCTACCTTGGTACTGTCCCCATTATAGTGAGTGAGTTCTCATGAGATCTGGTTGTTGAAAAGTGTACAGCATCTCCTCTACTTGCTCTTTTGCTCCTGCCTCAGCCATGGGAAGTGACTGCTCCTGCTTTGCCTTCTGCCATGAGTAAAACTCCTTGAGGCCTCCTCAGAAGCAGATGCCATCATGCTTTCTGTACAGCCTGCAGAAGTGTGAGAAAATTAAACTTCTTTTCTTATAAATTACCCACTCTAAGATATTTCTTTATAGAAATGCAAGAACAGCCTAATACTTTTATATATTCTTTGTCATATACAGCCATGGTAGACTCAACTTATTTTGCTTATTAATCAGCTAATAATTGGACAGATATTTCATTAAATGCCTTGAATCAGTAAGTCTCCCAGCCTTTGCTGAGGGGTTCTGGATGTGTGCTAAAGCATTCCTTTGATGTTTTGCAATTTTACAGCTCTGTCTTAACCTTTATTTCCTGCATGCAAAGATCCTTAAAAATCAATCGGAAGTAAGGAATTAGGCCTTCTCAACTCTCTTTTGGCTGTGCACACAGTTCTGTGTATATGTGTGGCATAATAGATAAATATGTTGGAGTTTTTAAAGCCCCCTGTGGACATCTTATTTTCCAGTTCTTTCTTTTCAGAGTTTTAGCTCTGCCTCTTGTTTTTTCCAGCTGGTATTGCCACTTTAGGAAGATAAGACATTAAAAATCACTGATTATTTGCAAAACATCACCGAAAGAAACATATGAGTTCAGGTATCTTTTTTTATGTAATTATTTATTTTTCTTTGGGTATATACCCAGTAGTAGGATTGCTGGATTGAATGGTAGTTCTATTTTTAGCTCTCTGAGTAATATCCATACTGTTTTCCATAGTATATTAGTCAGACAGTGGTCACACTAAAATCCCAGACTTTACACTCTGCAATACAGCCAGGTGACAAAACCATATTTGTACTCCTTAAATGTATAAAAATAAACAAAACAAAACAAAACAAAACCTGTATTGAGGATAGGTTAGTTCCCACCTACTGAGCTCTAAATCAGATAAAATAAAGACCATCCCTGAGAATAAGATTTTACTAGGAAACTAATTTAATTGCTAGGCAATACAGTGACAATACTCTGCAGCTAGGGTGAGTTCCAATCTAATTCTGTTTTCTCCAATGGCTGTTAAGCTGCTACTTTCAATTGTTACCACTCTTGCATGACTACTGGTTTTTGAGGCTGTCATGGGGCTGGAAACAGGATGTAGGAACAGGGCAATTTAAAACCCGACAAGCCTGCCATTCTCACTCAGATTCCGACATTTTTTTCTTAAATAAATGCTCTTCCGGTTGTTGAAAGCCTTTTATTAATTTAGAGTGTTTACAAAGTTGATTTTGCCAATTTTTGCTGTTGTCCTCACCACTTTTACAGAAGATAAAATTTTCAGAGGTTGTGTATTAATCATCCATTCTAGGAGTGGTTCACTCTGACTTTTTAGTATAAGACTAGTGCTACTTTATGAAAACATTAAACGTAGAAATTAGTTGGTAACTTTTGTACTTTCACTTTATTGCAGAGTTGTTAAAATGAAATCAGTACTACTCCTTATTTAAAATTTTGAGGCCAGGCGCGGCAGCTCACGCCTGTAATCCCTGTACTTTGGGAAGCCAAGGCAGATGGATCACGAGGTCAAGAGATCGAGACCATCCTGGCCAACATGGTGAAACCCCGTTTCTACTAAAAATACAAAAATTAGCTGGGCCTGGTGGTGCGCTCCTGTAGTCCCAGCTACTCGGGAGGCTGAGGCAGGACAATTGCTTGAACACAGGAGGCGGAGGTTGCAGTGACCCAAGATAGCGCCACTGCACTCAAGCCTGGTAACAGAGGGAGACTCTGTCTCAAAAATGAAAAAATAAATAAATAAATAAATAAAAATTTTGAAACATTTTGTCAAATTATTCATGCAGACACTTATTGAGATGTAAATTTTAAAAATTAAGTCTCAATATCGTGTTAATTGTTCTTGTAGATTTCTTTAGTATGTTCTTTTTTAAATATTTGTAATACCGCATTTTCTCTAAAAACTGTCCCAAATTTTTCCAAATGTATTTGTAGTGAATTAAAATTTATTTTAATATTTTTCTCTAAAATTGCAGTTATTTTCATATTCATATTTCTAAATTTGTTTATATACATATTATTATTGTTATTATTTTTGCTTCTGTCTCCCCTAAGGTTTTTTTGGTTGTTATTATTATTATATTTTTAATCGAAGAAACAACTCTTTGTTTTATTGATTAATTTTTCTTCTCTTATTTCAGTTAATTTCTGTTTATGACTTTCTTTTTTTCTTTATATCTTTAATTTATTTTGTTATTTTTCTTGAGATGAGTGCTTCAGTACAATTTCTGTTGAATTATGGGGTGTGTGGATTTAATTTGCATGCTGTTGTTTCCTTTAATTTAATAAAACCTGCTTTACAACATAAATTTGTGTTTGCTCATTTACTTTATCTAATTTACTTTAAAATATAAGGGATTTTTTAGTTCTTTTATAAAATTGTTTTTCAACAATTTTTAAATCTCTATTTTTTCAAATTTTGCTATACATTCTGCCTTTTTGTTTTCTAATAAATTCTATGCATTATATAAAGTACTATATTCACCAATTCTAAGATACATTTTTCCCTACATTTAGATATCTCCATAATAAAAATACATCTTACAACCATTTCGGTTAAACTGTAGTCCAAATTTGGTTATTACTGACTTGTATAGTTGAACTTGGTCATGCTGTACATATGGTCATTAGTTATAATAAGTTACTGGAATTTGTGTACTAGGCATGTTGAGTTTAACTCTAAATATGTCTCTGAAAAGATTACATTATAATTTAGCATTAAAATAAAACTAAGTTATTTTGTACCCAAAATATTCCAGAAATAAAATAGGAATGAGTAAAATTTTGATATTAGTGAGGTCAATATCCATTATTGGAAGAATGAATGAATTTTATATTTACTATCAAAGCACCGAGGAAGGGTTTCATAGGACCTAAGAAAAGAAGATTTTCAAAAATGGAGAAAATTTTGATAGTTTAACTAATAGCATCTATTTTCTTTCCTTTATGATATAAAATTTTGGGTATATCATTAAAACATTGATGGAGGCTTTGATTTGGTGAAATGTAGCTTTTTCTTTCTGGTAACTTGATTTGTTCTCTATTATTAATTAATTTATTTATTTAATGAGTTAGTGTTTGTCTTCATCTGCAAAATTTAAAATGAACACATTTATTGTTTCCATAGTTATTGATTTTTAATACGATATTATTTTTTCATAAAAGCCGGAGTTACCAACATTTTCTTCTTTTGACATTTATTTACTCTTTTTAATGATATTATATTATTTTTCTATTTCCAAAATTGATATTCAACACAAGCTTCCATAGTTAGAATTATCTTATTTTGTTAGATTTCAAAAATAATGCAGAACTCACTCTCAACCCTGCAACCGCTACTTCTTCATTGCCTAATTAACACTCTTCTAGTTTTTTGAAATCTGTGGTAACTTAAAATTATTTTTCCAAGGGTCTGAGAAATTCTGTATCTTATGAGTTTTAGCATACTAAGCATTGCATTTATACTTAAATAAAAATGTTTCTGCATTGAGTTTTCCTGGGTGATACATTTTAATCAGAATTTATTTCTTGTTCCAGTGTCTTCTAGCAATTGAATGTTGCACTGGAGAAATCTGAGATGAGCTTGCTGTCTTTTCCTTGTCTTTTTGCCTGAATCCATACTGTCTTTTCTGATTCTTTGAAATTTAACTTCATTGTACTTTTTCTTGATATTGGTTTTCTGTAGAGTTTTTTCCTTGAGACACAGAGGTCACATTTAAGCAGAAGAATTAATTCTTTCTTTACTTCAGAAAAATTTTCTTTGGTCATATACCTAAATGTGTATTTGTCTCCTAGGTTTTTGTGCCTGAATAATACAAATGAGGCATATCACAATGACTTGCTCTTTTTTCTAATGTCTCTAATCTTTATTTATTACTTAATTATTTAATTTAATTTTTTCCTAGCAGTTCTGTCATTTTTCTTATTAAAGATTGTGTTACCAGTATAAAATATTTAATTTTGCTACTTCTATATGGCTCTGCTCTCAGTTTTGAACATCCTTATTTTCCATTTATTTTCTGAAACATGAGACATATGAAAAATATTATTAGCTTTAGCTCATCTGTTAGCTAAATTTCATTTGTTTTCTCTTCTCCTGTGTCTCAATAGAGAAATATTTTTATAGGGTCCTTTTTTTTTACCCTTTAATTTGGTTTAGAATATTGAACATTATTTTCTGGCAAATTCTTACTTCTTCTAGAATTATTATTCTCATGTATAATATCTTTCTTGAAGTTTTGTATGTTTGTTTTCTGTTTTGGAGATATTCTGAATGAGTAAATTATCTGATATTACTTACGATTTGTTTATTTGATAAAAGTGGTTTAATCTTGACCTTCTATGTGCTGAAAAATATGACAGAAGGAAGTGAAGAAATGAGCTAAAGCAGCTGGAAGCTGTAATCAGATTTTTCAAAACATTTTCTCTTGCGTGTTAGCTCCATTTGCTAATTTGGATGTATAGTGCCTCTCAGCTTTTTATCTTTCCACTTCCTACGTTTGAGCAAGAGGTCATCATGACTCATTGGGAGGCTAAGTATAAGGTTAGGACTTTTTTTTTTTTTAATTTACATTTCTCTACTCAGTTGCCTCAGGTTAATAGCAGAAAACTTCTCTGTTTAACAAAGTAGGCCAAAAAAAAAAGGATGTTTTTTTATGTCACGATATTTCTTCCATCATATTTTGGGTGTGGAATTCAGTGGACCAATTTTCGTACCTTCTCTGTGATCCTATCCAAATCACTGAATTTTCATTGTTCTCATATTTTGCTTGGGTTTTCAAAAATGTGCTACTTCTTGGTAGAAAAACCTGTACCCTATCACTTTGTTCAGTATTTTAGTGTTAGGCAAGGAGGTTATAAGCATCTTAACAAATCACATTAACATGAGAATCGTGTGCTTGACTGTTTATTTGTTCACTCTGTATGCATATCTTTGTGAATGTGTATGTGAGTTCCTAAGTGTATGTGCTGGAGGCATGATTATAAAGAGTAAAGATATACAAGTACTTATTTCAGTGTTTTCTTTTAGTCCACTACAACCAGAGAAATAATACATTTAGTGTCATCAACTTAGAAACAATCTAATATTCTTTTTTATTCATGAACTAGGAAACTTTTTAAAATAGCAAAACGTTATTTTAAATTATTTCTGAAGGTGTAATCTATCTGTAGGCACAGTTTGATCATATTATTGATAACTTTTATATTTTATGGATTCTACTTCCTCATACTGAGCACAGTCTACCATGGTCTCTTCCTTTAAGCATTTTTTATTTTTTGTATCTTTTACATACAAGTTCTGATATATAAATCTGAGCAGCTACCACAAAGCTTGTCTCAGTCATTGCAACTATTATTATCTCATTCTCACAGGGAACAATGAGTTTTAAGTTATTTTTCAGCCTTTCTGCAGTTTTTCACCATTCTCCACTGGGGATGTTCTACTGATCTGAAAACTTCAAGCTGCCAAACTACCAATGTGTTCTGTGGTTCCCATACTTGTAAATTACACACAGTTAAAGAGGTTACTACACATTTGCAATATACTGACAGTTTGTGTTTTCCAAAATTCATATGCTGAAATCCAAGCCCCTCAATGTGATGGTATGAGAAGGAGGGGACTTTGTAAGTTATTAGATCAATTAGCAGAGCCCTCATGAATGTAATTAGTGTCCTTATTAAAGAGACACTGGAGAGCTCCCATGTCCTTTACGCCATCTGAGATCTCAGGGAAAAGAAAGCCATAGATGAACCAGAGAGTGGGCCTTCACCAGACACTGAATCCACCATGTTCCTTGACCATGGATTTCCCAGGTTCCAGAGCTGTAAGAAACATATTTCTGCAGTAGCTGGAGTAGTCTAAAACAACACTGTTGCTGTGTGTGTGTGTGTGTGTGTGTGTGCGCACTTGCCATTTTTTACTTAAATAACTTTTTTAAAATGTCATGTTGTGTACTTTAAATATATACATAAAATATTTATTTATTTAAGATCCAAGCATAAGTCCATAGACTGGACAGGTGATACATGTTAACGACAGATGCCATGATCTGGAAATGAGGATCATTCCCATGAACACCAAGGTTTTGTTAATAAAAGTAACTCAATGAGCATGTGTGCAACTTCCTTTAAAATAAGATTTATTTCATATACTCATCAATTCTTCATGAAAGTAAAATCTATAAAAGCTCAGTCTACCATTTCTCAATTATTTCCACCCATGCCTGAATCTGAATGGCTTAGATAATTTGACTTAAAGCTAAGAAACCTCCTATAATGCATTATGTATATAAAATATGTTTTGATTGCATTACTACATGATTGCCTAGTAGGTAATTTTATGTTTAAAATATGAATATTTTGACTAACTAAATTGCTTTATTTAACTTACATTTTTCAGGTTATTAATAATATTCTTTATGAACTTGCTTGCATGAAGTATACTAATCTTTTAGATAATTGTATTAGTTGTATCTTCAGTCTTCAACCTTGGAAGTACTTTCTAAGCACTTTCTTGAACCTACCTTTGAGGTTAAATCATTCAGTCATTAATATTTTAAAAAGACTAAATGGAAAGATATGCTCATAAAGTCCAGACGTCTTTGTCACTGATATAATAGGGCAATGAGACAATTTTCTTCCTAAGAACCGGAAGATAGTTCTGTCCGTTCTGTGTTGGCTCATTTATCTCTGTTACATTGATGAATTCATTTTCATGACAATACTTGGTCTGAATAATGAAAAGCTAGAAGAATGTCTGATGGTCAAAATGGAATATTTAAAATTTTCGTTCCAATTATAGCTAAGCATCATTTTGAGATTCACCATTGAGATGATCAATCACTTTGGGTGAACAAAAAATGTTAGATGATATTTTTCAGCTAAATTACATGTCATTTGAATAGTGTAATCTCTCCTGAAGCATTATTAAGCCAGTGTGAACTGGAAGTCATTATTATCTTCTTAAAAACCAATGTATAAAATATAACAATGTGTTTTCAACTTTTCATTCACCATGAATTTGAATACACGTTATAAAAACTGTTTATTTGAAAGAAACATAACCTTTATAAAACAAATTAACTTTTTTGAATGTCCATTAGTTAAATAAATTTATTGGTTCTGTTCTTAGTCAAAAGTGAAGTAGATGATTGTTTCTACAAGGTTATTTAAAGTACTTTTTCAAACTTTAGTGGACCTGTGAAGCTTATGAAGATCTGAGTGAAGTTTTACATTTTTAACGAGTCCTGCCATGTCCACATGGACTAGTGAAAATACGATGCCAATTTTTCTCTGTAAGAAATTCATATAGTTGGACTTGAGCCTGTTGTTTGGCAGTTAAGATATATACAACCTTGAAAGAAATAATGCTTAAAATTTCTTGAAAATATATTATGTTTTTTATAATTACATGTGGGAAAACTTAGTTTCATTTCTGAGTGATTTTGAGCCAAATTTTGGCTTATGAGTTTTAACAGCAAGACAATATTATCTTGCTTCATTGTTATTATGAATTGAAAAAGAAATTGTTAAACAAAAAGCAATCAGAACTTGAATATTTGGAAAATCCTCAGCCTACCCATATTGCAAGAAAATGAACAGCTTGTTCTGAAAAGAAGGTTAAAGATGCGGCCAACCAACCACTTGACAAAATGTGGCATTATACAACCAGAAACATTTCCAGTTTGAACCGAAGGGAACAGAGATGGACTAAATTAAGGAAGGCTCTTTGACTTTTGGGATTTGGCAGGGCAGGATGGTAGAACTATTAGGCTATGAACATGCATTATTTTTCAAAGAGAGTAAAAAATGATCCCAAAGGCAATTCAGACATCATCAGGGTCACCAGCAAGGTATCAACCGGTTAGAAGGCTTACATGAAGCTTTGTGTGTGGGATTATTGCCTTGAGCTGTGGGGGTCTTGCTGCCATATTACTGGGCCCAGAAGTCCAGACATGGAACCAAAGAGGATTATTCTCAAGCCTTAAGATCTAATGAATTTTGCCTCGGGATGAATTGTACCTTGATTATACCCATATCAAATTTAAATAATATTTAGATGAGACTTTGGACTTTAGAGTTGGTGCTGAAATAAATTAAGACTCTAGGGACTGTTGAGATGGAATGAATGCATTTTGCACATAAGAAAGACATGAACTTTGAGGGGCCAGAGAGGAAGGTACTTTTGAGGAAACCTCTAAATAATTGAAATAGTGAGATAAGTTTGATATGGGTAGGATATGTCAAGAATGTATTGGGAGAAGTGTGGTAACCCGGGAGAGACAATGAGTCAGATATGGTAGGAGGAGGAAAAACAAATAAACAAAAAATAAATAAAACAAAGACAGGGAGTAAAAGAGAGATGGGGGTCTAGAAGGAGAGGGAGAGAAAGAGAGAATGTATATTCTAAAGTGTTATGGGCAGGTGTGAGCATATAGTTATTATTAGTAATGAGAACAACTTGGATTTCTTTTCCTTTTAAAAATTTGTATACATACAATAATTAAGAGTTTTTTAATGCTTTAAATGCAGATTAATTGAGTGCTTACACTGTGAAAAGCATCTTACTGATTAATATGAAAAATTAGAAAAGCTCTCTAAATCTTAATTGAAGATGCCTAACTGACTGACAGAATGCTAACAAAGGGAAAAATCGCTATTGTTTGTGTGATATTATTTAAGATATCTTATTCGGATTCACTGTCATTATCTGAGAGGAAAAAGAAATATGGCTAGGGAATTGAACAAGGCCTTTGTTTATCCTGTTTTGTATACGAATATTCCTGCCATTCAAACTTGATTTTACTTGCGGGATGGTTCCTGGACTTTTGAGCTCATGATCCTACAGCATTAGAAGTCTGTGATAGAAGAAATGCTCTTTTTGATCATTTCTCTCTCTTTATATGTCCTCTTCCCTGCCGAAGGGTCTCCTAATTTCACAGCATCAATCCCTCAGTATGTTTGTGATACCCACATATTTTTTTTTTTGTTTTAGTTTAGTTTAGTTTAGTTTAGTTTAGTTTAGTTTAGTTTAGTTTAGTTTAGTTTAGATTGAGACAGAGTCTTGCTCCGTTGCCCAGGCTGGAGTAGAGTGGCACGATCTTGCCTCACTGAGATCTCTGCCTCCCAAGTTCAAGCAATTCTCCTCCCTCAGCCTCCTGAGTAGCTGAGACTACAGGTGTGTACCACTACGCCCAACTAATTTTTTTTTTTTTAGCAGAGATGTGACTTCACCATGTTGGACAGACTGATCTTAAACTCCTGGCCTCAAGTGATCCACCTGCCTCGGCCTGCCAAACAGCTGGGACTGATTACAGCAGATACCCACATATTTTTCTGTGCATTTCCCTTGACCCACACCCTTCCTTCAGCATCACATTTGCATCTTTATTTAGCTCCCCTTATTTCTGATTTTCTTCATCCTCAGGTTTCCCCCTGCCACGTCCTTCTTCCTAAAACATAACCACACTGATCTCTGTTCTTTTTTATTATGATTTCAGTTCTTTCTTTAGGGTCTACTGGTCTGTTGGGAAGCAAATATTTTTCTTTAGTACTACCAACCCTTACATGAAGTGCCTTTCCTTATATCTCTAATATCCAATTCAGATTTCCCATTTTAGGATTTATTCTCCCTTCACCTACTAGATTCAAATAACTCATGCTTTTTTGCTTCTTACATGTCATCAATGAGGTACTGTCAGGGTGAGCTTCCTGGATGTGCAACTAGTGCATTGTCATTGACACCTGAGCTCAAAAGAGCCCACACTTAGGGTTTAATGCTCTGTGGTTGTCATCTTGACACTCTCAATAGCTTTCTGTTTGAACTTAATGTTTTCTCAGCGGATTCTGATGAGGCCATGGAGCATGTCCCTCTTCTTGGATCCTCAGAGGTGCCTCTTGCCACTGCCATGGGACCTGTTCTTGGTTGCTCACTCCCCTATACACTTGCATTCTGGGCTTCTCAAGGTCTCTGTCTCTCTGTCCTGATCCAGAGACCACTACCACACTCCCCTTCCTGGGTGTGTGTGTGGAGAGGATCAGAGTCAGGTTGGCATGCCCCTTACAGTCTTGAGAAGAGGTACTGGGGAGGGTGACCCCTCCCCTGGTTGGCAGTTTCACAGTGTATCTGGGGAGCAGCCAGACAGAGGCTGCTTTCTTGTGGGATCAAAGCTCTCATTGGTCCCCAGTTCAGCTACTGAGCAAGTTCTTGTGTATGTATTTAAACATTCTTGACATGTTTGGGTATTGCCTTTCTGCAAGTATCCCTGTCCCCGACTACATGAGTGCTCCCTAGACCAACCTCATGCCTTTCTTGGACAGATTCTGTCTTCCACCAAAGGAGACAAGTTTGCATTCATCTCTTTTGACTATTTAGAGGGAGCCTCCAGAAATAAGCAAAGGAATTATGCTAATGATTTAAAACCTTGATTTGTTTTTATTTACAATAACATTAAATAAAAAAATAAAGCCACCATGACAAATTAAAGAAGAGAGCACAGGAAAAAAAGAAAGACCTTTATATGTACAATTGGCAGCACTTTTTACTTGATATTTGAACTAAAAGCCCTGCATTTTCATTTTACACTGGGCCCCACAACTTATGTATCTGATCCTGCTCGATGTCTCATATTTTGTGACACTCTGGGACACAGACCACCAGCCATAGGCCCACTGCCCCTGGTCTTGCCCCAGCATTTATTTTTCCTACCCCAATGTGGTGTGCCACTTCCTTTTAGGATCTTGTTACTGTAAGTCCATCCACTCATTCACTTTAAAAATGTTTTTTTTTAAGTAAAAGGGTCAGTTGATTTTTAAAAAGCATATAATGATAATCGATATACAGATGTAAAAATATTAAGGTGGAACAGAAATTCTACTAAATAAATAACTGAGTAATGGGCTCCATTAAAGTCCTCTTTGCTTGAAACATAGAATACTTGTGCTTCTCTTGAGTGGATATTGAATAATGCAGCTTATGAATTAAGCAGTACCAAAAGAAATTCCTATTTCTCCTTTAATATTGTAAAACAAAAAAGTTACTGGAATGGGATTTCCAGTGACATTCTGAAAAGGTGATATATCTCTGAGGAAGGTATCCTTGAACAGTTAAAAGAATGGGGATTGGTGAGGAGAAGGGTTAAGTGGAAATCTAGGGCTCTGAATTTACTTCTAGGAGGCTTTTGCCAAGTGTGATAGATAACATCTCTAGCACTGAGTTCTCATCTGTACAATAGCGAGAACAGTAGTTTTTACACAGTTGAATAACAACCACATGAATATTAATACTTTACAAGTAGTAGGAAATATACAAATATTTATTAATAGTAATTGTACCTCTCTAGTATCTGGGACTAAAAGTGTGTGGCAACACACCCAGCTAATTTTTGTTTTTTAGTGGAGACAGAGTTTCGCCATGTTGACCAAGCTAGACTTGAACTCCTGGCCGCAGGTGATTTGCCCGCCTTGGCCTCCCAAAGTGCTGGGATTATAGGCGTGAGCCACCGCACCAGGCCCGCTTCAGAATTCTTTACAAGGGATTAGATACAAAGATTGGAGTTATTTAATAGTTTTTGTTTCCAATTTTCCCACAGTGAAATTTAGTTTGGCACTATGAGGTACCAACTAAATAAATTTAAATAACTGAATTTTTCTCTTTTAACAATGTAGAATGTGAAAGATCTATCTGACCATGCTCTTTTTCATTTACTATTGCATCCTTAACATTTTCCATGCAATTGAATATTCTTATCTGATGTTATTATACATGAAACACAATGAGGTCAAAATTGATTTAATTGATTATTCAATTTAGATAATGTGATTGTTTTTAACTTTGCAATGTTATAAGCAAATGAGATTTCTTAGGACTGAATTTTTTGAAATATGATTATTTATTTATATTTTATTATTAAATAAAGTAATTGCTAAGCTAAGGATAGCCACATAAAAGTTTGATAATTAGTTGTTTTGTTTTTATTTTTTAGAGGGCAGGAGAGTTAATGAAGTTAACATAGGAACCTTAAAAATAACTTGCTTGTTTTCAAGCAAATTTAAGTAGCACATGATTATTATTAGTTATTTCATTGCATTCACCTGGCAGTTTTCAAATAATATTAAGGATAATTGGACTATTAAGTAGCCAACTTCTTATATTAAAAACAATAACAGAATGGGCCACTACAAGAAGTGACCACAATCTTGGCAAATGTAAGAAATTTCAGTCAATTAATTATAACATTTCCCTACTATACACAAAGTAGTGTATGGTATGAATAGAAAGTAACATAAAAAATTGTTATATAAGACTCAGAGCATTTGTAAATTTCTGGTAATATGGTCTGGTCACTTATTTGCCTAAATTTATGTAAGCAAAATAAAGATCATGATCAATTAAAAAAACAACTATTTGTGTTAATAACATGTGTATGCTTGCCACGACTGTTGAAGGAAACAAACTATCTACATCTTAGTGTCTTTTGTTCAGTAAGCAAAATATTTCAAAATCATTCCATGATATGCCTCATCAAGCCACTGCTTCATTTCTTCCTGCATAATTTTGACAGAACTGTTTGGAAAATCAATGCCTCAGAGCTGTTTTGGATTTACTGCTGAATCCAATTATAGTGTATTATCATAAAAACCATCAAAATGAAAATTACTGATGGAGCTTGTTTTGTGAGCATGCAACTGTTAACTCTTTTAAATATAAATATTTTAATAGCACAATTCCTCACTATTATGGAAAAGAAAAAAGAAATAAAATTTCTAATATGGAAAAATAAACCATTTAAATTTAAACAAAGTTTTTACTTAAAAAATATGCAATGCTATTTTATACACAATTCACAGATGAGCACTTTAAGCGGCTATGATTAACAATACTTGGCCAAAATTGTATGAGAACATTATTATGCAAAAGCAATAGATGTTTTTAAATTTTGGTTTAAAATTTTATATGTCCCAAATATACTTATGATTTTAAGCAGAGGTTGACATACAGCAGCCACTGGGGCAACACCGGCCCCTCCCCCTCATTTACTTACAGTTTATTTGTGTTGTGCTCTACAACAGCAGAATGAATAGTTGTGACAGAAATCATATGGCAAGCAAAGTTTAAAATATATGCTATTGGCCCTATGCAGCAAAACAAACAAAACAAAACCTGAAAAAAAACTACTAGCCCTCATTAAATGTAGATTTTTAAATAACAGTTTTAAAATTTCAGAAAGGGTTTGGATCTTTAAAATGATCTTAAATTAGAGGTACATAATTGAGACCAGTGAATTTTTTAGTAATTCTATTAAAGTTAAAATAAAACAAAAACCATAAAATGTATTCATTGTAAGTACACAATTTGATGATTTTTAGTAAATTGATACATTTGCACAACCATTATCCCCCAAATTATCTTCATATCAGTTTGTAGTCAATTCCTGTTCCCAACCCGAGCCCAAGGAACCACTGATAGACTCAATAGTTTTTCATTTCCTAAAGGAATTTATACAAATAGAGTCATACAATATGTAATCCTTTGTTCTTGATTATGTGTCAGATATCAGTTTTACTATTTTCAAGAAGCATATCTAATGTTTAATATGTGTTCTCATAGGTAGTACGAACCAGCTTTAAATTCATTAATTTTTTTCTTTCTTTTATTTTTCTTGTCTTTATTTTGCTGTTGCATTCCTAATTTATTGAGGTGAGCTACACATTTATTTCCTAAACTCTCTTTATTATAAGCGTAATTATATTTAGAGAGATGTGATAGAAGTGAAAATACGTGAAGATAGTTAATATCTATTATCCCCACAGTAGGGGATAACATTCCCTTTTCCTTTCATTTGTAGTTGACATTTAATAATTGTACATATTTATGGGATGTAGAGTAATATTCAGATACACATATGCAACATGTAATGATTAAATTGTGGTAATTAGTATATCCACTTTATCAATTCTTTGCTTTGTGATTATTCCACATCTTCTCTTACAGCTTTTTGGAAATATGTAATAAATTATAGTTAACAATATTCACCCTACAGTGTTGCAGACACCAGAAATCATTCCTACTATCTAGCTGTAATTTTGTATCCTTTAACCAACCTCCTCCCCCAACTCTCCCCTTTCCCCTTGCCAGCCCATAATACCCACAATTCTACTGTCTACATCAACGAGCTCAAAAAATATTTTAGTTCCCAGGTATGAGTGAGAATACATGGTATTCATCTTTGTGTGCCCGACTTATGTTCACATAATGTCCTCCTGTTCCATCTATGTTGCCATTAATGACAGAATTTTAATGTTTTATGGCTGAACAGCATTACATTTGTGCATATATATGACATTTTTTTGCTCATTTCTTAATAAACATTTAGGTTGATTTCATATATTAATTTTGTAAATACAGCTGCAATAAACATGGGGGTGCAGGAATCTCTTTGATATACATGTTTCCTTTCCTTTGAATAAATACCCAGTGACAATATTTCTGGATCTTATGGTACCTCTATTTTCACTTTTTTGAAATCCCCCATGCTGTTTTCCATAATGGCTCTACCAATTAATGTTCCCATTAACAATATGAGTTCCTTATTCTCTGCATCCTTAAGAGCATTTATTTTTCTGTCTTTTTTATAACAAATAATCTATCTTGGATAAGATGATATCATAGTGTGGTTTTGACTTGTAATTCCCTAATAATTAAGGATGAGCATTTTTTCATATACTTGCTGGCCATTAATATGTCTTCTCTTGAGAAATGTCTATTAAGATAATTTGTCTACTTTCAAATTTTTTTTTCTGCCAAGTTGTTTGAGTTCCTTGTATATGCTGGATACTAGTCCCTTGTAGGATGAAGAGTTTGTAAATACTTTCTCTTCACCCTATTCATAGTTTCCTTTGCTATGCAGAATCAAAATAGTTTAGCACAGTCAGTTTTGTCTATTTTTGTTTTTGTTGCCTGTGTTTTTGAAGTCTTAGCCATAAAATCTTCGTCTAAAACAATGTCCTGGAGTGTTTTCACTACGTATTCTTCTAGAAGTTTTATAGTTTCAGGACATATGCTTAAGTATGTAATTTATTTTTAATTTATTTTTGTATATCAGAAGTAGGAGTCTAGTTTCATTCTTCTCCATATGGATATCCAGATTTCCCAGCATCATTTATTGAACAGAATGTCCTTTCCCAATATATGTTCTTGACACTTTTGTCAAAAATCTGTTGTCTTTAAATATGTGGATTTATTTCTGGGCTGTCTCTTCTGTTCCTTTGGTCTATTTATCTGTTTTTATGCAAGTACCATGCTGTTTTTGTTGCTATAGCTTTATACTATGTTTTGAAATCAGGTAAGTGTGACACCTCCAGCTTTGTTCTTTTTGCTTAGTATTGTTTTGGCTATTTGGGGTGTTTTATGGTTCTATATAAGTTGTATAATTGGTTTTTAATTTCCGTGAAAAATGTCATTGATATTTTGATAGAGATAAGATTGAATCTGTAGTTTGCTCTGTGTGGTTTGGTCATTTTAACAATATTAATTCTTTAATTCAAGAGCATGAGGTATCTTTTCAATTGTTTATGTCCTCTTCACTTGCTTTCATCAGTGTTTTATAGTTTGTTATAGTAGTCTTTGGCCTAGTTAAATTCATTACTAGTTATTTTTAAGCTACTATACATGGATTGATTGCATTTTTTATTTATCTTTTCAGCTAGTTTGTGGTTGATGTAGAGAAATGCTACTGATTTTGTATACTGCACCTTTATTGAATTCATTGGTTAGTTCTAACAGCTTTTGACAGCATCTTTCGGTTTTTCTATATGTAAGATTATATTGCCTGCAAAGAAGGATGGTTTTACTCCCTTTTCCAACTTGGATCTCCTTCCTTTATTTATTTCTTTTGCTTATTTCTGTGGCTAAGACTTCCAGTCCTATGTTGAATAAAAGTAATAAGAGTAGACATTCTTTGTAGAATTTGTATAGGAAACTCTTTCAGCTTTTCTCCAGTTGTCATGATGTTAGGTGTGGGCTTGTCATAAATGGCCTTTATTATATTGAGGTATGTTCTTTCTATGTCTAATATGTTGAAAGGTTTTATCATGAAGGGATACTGAATTTTTGAAAGATTTTCTGCATCTATTGAGATAAGCTTATGGATTTTGTTCTTCATTCTGTTGATGTGCCGCATTTATTGATTTGAGTATAATGAGATCAAGGGATAGATTACTTGATCATGGTGCATTATTTTTATAATGTGCTGCTGGATTTGATTTGCTAGTATTTTGCTGATATTTTTTGCATTTATGCTCATTGGGGATATTGGCCTGTATTTTGTTGTTGTTGTTGTTGTTGTGTCCTTGTCTGGTTTTGGTGTCAAGGTAATGCTGGCCTCCTGAATCAAACTGGGAAGAATGTTCTCTTCTTCAATTTTTTGTTATAGTTTGAGAAGAATTTATGTTAATTCTCTTTACAGTTTTGACAGAAATCAGGAGTGAAGCCATCTGGTCCTGGCATTTCCTTTTTTAGGGAGATTAATCATTACTGATTCAATCTCATTACTGGTTTTTGATCAGTTCAGTTCAAGGTTTCTATTTCTTCCAAGTTCGGTCTTGGTAGGTTTCATGTGTTAAGGAATTTATTGATTTCCTCTAAATTTTCCAATTTGTGAGTGTAGAGCTGTGTATAATAGCCTCTAATGATCCTTTGTTTTTCGATGGTATCAGTTGTGATGTATCTTTTTTTTGTTTGTTTCTGATTTTACTTTTTGGGTCTTCTCTTTTTATTTTCAGTTCATCCAGTTAGCAGTTTATTAATTTTGTTTATCATTTCAAAAAAACAACTTTTTTTTGGTTGATTTTTTGTATTTTTTTTAGTCTTTATTTTATCTGTGTCTTCTCTGATCTCTATTATTCCTTTCCTCCTATCAATTTTGGGTTTGGTTTGTTCTAGCGCATTGTTAAGTTTTTTTTTTTTTATTTGAAATCTTTGTACTTTTTTTGATTTGGCACTTTTTTTGCTATAAACTTCTGTCTTAGCACTGCTTTTGCTATATCCCACAGGTTTTTGGTATTTTGTGTTTCCATTTTAATTTGTTTCATGACTTTTTCTAAATTTCCTTCTTAATTTTTTCATTGGCCCAATGGTGGTGCAAGCGGTGGGCTGAACTGGTGTAAATGGGAGGGTACTGAGCAGTGTTACATTTGGGTGGGCACTGGTGGCAATGACAGCAGGCTACGCAGATCTCCCTAAAATTTACATGGTTTGCAGTGGCAGCAGCTACAGGAGCAGGTCCTGACAGCACACATGGACATTAGCTGTCGCAGCAGTGAGTCAGGGTAGCCCTCTTCTCGGGGCTTTGAATAGCTCGTGCATGTACCAGTGACAAGTGGTGCTAACTAATACTCAGGCGTCTGAACAGTGTCCACGATGAGTCAATCCTCAAACCCCATGAAGTCTGCAGAGGTGTGCAGCAGCCCTTCTACTGGAGGTAGTGAGGTTGCTGTCTGTGACAGTAGCCCTAGGCAGTTGTATCCTAGGCTCTGAAGATTATGCACATTGTCTCCTGTTGTCCTGGGGGCAGCTGCCATGTACACTGGACTGCCCATCTTCCAGGTTGTAGAACACTGCATGGACCAATATGCTGATGCTAAGAACGCAGCTGCATCACTAGGTACAGCTGGCTTTGTGACACTGCAGTTCTGTGAGTGGACATGGGGATTTCAGCAGGCTCCAGGGATGTGGAGAGACAGAAGCTATTGGGTTCCAGGGCAGGATGTAGTCTTGTGATGGCTGGGCTCTCAAAATGGCGCCATGCTGCAGAAGCTTGGGTCTTAGGGTTTATGCGAGACCTAGAATGAATTCTTTCTCAAGAATGAGGAAGTCACATGGGCTCCAGGTGTCTCCCTATATTAGGCTCAGGGTCTGTGAGGTCTGTGACCGTGACTGCAAGCATCCATGGTAGGAATGTGGGCCCTGGGATCTTTTGTTTACCTTTTCCCTGCACTGCAAAGTTTCTCCTAGCCTCAAGTCAATCCCAGCCAGTCTTGTTGCTTTGCTTTCTCTCCATACCTCAGAGGATCCCTTCACTTCCCTGCTGAAATCCAGTGTTCTTTCTTAGGTTTAGCCACACAGACAGTATTAGCTATATTTGGTTGGATTTTGTCGGATTCTTTGAGTTTTAGTGTAAAGTACTTTAAAATACCTTTACCGTGAGATGCAATGGCATTTATTAATGAAAAAAAATAGTGAATTGCATTTTTAGTCTTATCCCTTGGTGTTAGTTGAAATTCATTTTCTTTGGTTTTTTTTTTTTTTTTGTCTTGACAGTTAATCACTTTTCTGGATTTGTGAACACTAACTTAATGGAAAACATAAAGCGAACAGCCTTTTGTAAAAGTGAGATTTAAATGTTCTTTATTTGGAGATTCTTTTTCTCCAAAAAACAAAAGATTAAAGATAAAGATTTGTAAATGTAGCTCTTGCAGTCTTTTAAGTTGATTGTATGACTGTAGGAATTGTATATATGAGCGAAGTCATGGGATTTTTAAACTTCCTTTGATATATGTACACTATACATCAAGTATTAGTACGGTAATTGATTATCACATGAAAAATTAAAACCATCATATAATTCATGAGATTACATCTTCAGAATTTTTCTTTTAGGAGTTATATTTAATTATAACACAAATTTATTTTTCTTTGTTACAATAACTTTATAAAGACTGTATAAAAATCAGTTATCTGATAAACATATAACAATCTCGTTGATACTAATTTTCTATCCAACATTTAAGATCCCTTTGTTTTCTCATCATTTTTTTGAGACATTCCTTTTGTATGATGAATCCCCCAAGTTATGAAACAGTTTCATAGTGGGATATATGGACCCCCAATGTACGTCTGTTATTGTTATTGAAAAATGCTGGCAAGACTTGCAGTCTCACAAGTTTCTACATTTGCAAAAAATATAATAAAATCTACCTTGTAAGTTTATCTTAAGAACTGAAGAAAGTAAACATATGGAAACATTTTGTGAATTTTAAACATTTTTCAAGCAGGTATTGTAAAATGTATATTATGATAAATAATGGACATATTAAGCCTGTTCTTGATACATTGCTATTGAGCACATATTCCAAACAGAGTATTCATTAAATTTTTCATGTAGCGATCATGTTCAAAGGCCATTTAATTCAGTTAACAATTTAGGTCTAGTTTGCTTTAATTCACAACAAAATGTTATTTGTTGAAATTAGAAAACCAATTAATCAATTAATTCCCTTAACCACACTAGTCTTTACATTGAGCAAACCTAGTAAGAAAACATGAACCCTATTTGACAGTAACAATGGGGACAGTTACAAAATATTAATCCAGCAAACACAAACCATGCAAGAAAAGTAAATCCAGATCTCTACATCACCATCCAGCACAACAACAACAACAAAAAAGTTAAGGTGGTTTTGTTGTTGTTGTTTGGTGTTTGTATTTCATTTTGGAGCAATGTCAGTAAAACACCTTAGTGTAAATATGCTACTTCATTATTTCTTGATTTCTGGAAGGAATCTCTCATAAGTAATGGTTATCCATACTGTTTTTAGGAAAATTTGACATGACCATTCTTTTCCTTTTTTAATAATAATAATGACAATAATAATAAAATCATATACAATATTTATAACTCAAATATTAGCATTTTATAATTTATGCAAAGTTACTAATAATTGCCAAACAATTAATTCAGTCCAAGCACACGTTAATTAGGCTGAACACCTGAAAAATATAATTTTGAAAGTAAAAATAATTTAGACTTTGTTTTCTAGAGTGTTGTCATGTGTATATTCAGCATTCTCCAAAACAAGAGTCAGAAGAAATTGAACTTTTAAATGGAAAATGAAGGATATCTCTTCAGTGGTTTTTGTCATGTTAATTGGGCTGCTGGACTCATTGTATATTCACAAGAAACTTGTGAGATCTGAGAGCGGGTAAGCTAATTCATGTTTCTATTCACAGGGAAGCACTGAGGTTAGAATAAGTCAGAAAGTTGTGATTTAAAAAAATAAATTTGATAAATGAACCGATGTTATAATAACTGGTCAAAGTCTTTGAATTTGGCTCAACTGAAAATTGCTAAGCAATTTCTATGCACAGATTATTTTGCCAAATATTATAAGATATTATAAAGTCATAATTGACATTTTTAAGAACTATAATCAGTATAAATGTCCCCAGCTTGAGGCTGGAGTGAGTTTAGAATAAAAACAAAAGCTTTCTGGACTATGCATTTTATTTTGCATTTTTGAGGCTGAGATATTTCCAGTGTCACAGATAAAACTTCCAAAGTTCTTTGCTATTTTCTTTATGTTTTGGTGTCTTAGCTTCACTTTTTAATATTTCATTTGATTCAAGCTTTTTAAAATACTTCAAATAATTTATTTGGTTTTTCACTGCCATGCTTATAATTTATATATATCTCACAAAGTCAATATTTAAATAGTATATTTTAGGTGCTAGTAAATATTTTAAAGAAAATCTAAAGAGAATATTAGACATCCTTAAATCTTAACATTCATTCTTTTTTAAGAGTGCATTTTGTGACCATGTAACAAAGGTATGATCAATGAACAGCTCATTAAACAAGAGTGATATCTGGTGATTAAACTATCAAATTTGGTAGGCTTCTGAATATAGACTTATGTTGTAGATTCTATTCCATTATTGAATATCAAGGTTTTATATAATTTCACCATTGTTTCATAACATAAATTATTATTCCATTGACACACTTTAGACATGACAAATTGTATCATTATTTACATATACCAATTTACAAAACTAAATGCCTGATTGACTACATGTTTATAACTTGTAATATGTTCTGTATCCTTAGGGATGATATTGATTGTGGGGAATGAAGCCAGATATAAGCCAGCAGTGAAACTCCACTACACCATTGAAATAACATGCAAGTGCTGAATTGACTCAATTGTTTCTTAGCATCATCAACATTTAGAAAACTCAGACAGACTAGTTTCTTCTGGTGGGGTGAAGTGAAACTGCAATGCTTACAGATTTTTGGGGAACTGCACCATGCCTCTTTTTAAGAATAGATTTTCCCCTCAAGGTATATTTATACTGATAATTGTTTAAGGCCCAATTTTTAGATTTAAAAACTATAGAGTTATTTAACATGTGCTAAATAAACATTGAAAATATTAAAGCATTATCAGTCTGGATACAGCTTTACATATATGAAACTTTACATTTTCTAAATTATTTTTTGCTATAGATACTATTTTTACATGTATTAATGCGTAATAAAAATAAAACACAGACAGATAAATTAATAAGTTGGCTGGAAAGTGGAAGAGCCAGTATTTGGACAGAGCTAGTTTGGTTCAGGAGGCTTCTCTCTCAAGCCCCAGCCTTTCATACTGCTCCAATGGCCTGAAGTAATAATGAAAAACTGAAGGAGCAAGTTACATATTATTGGTAAACTATTGGAGACTTCACCAGTGTACTTGCTGAAGTGTCATTTGACTATTCAGGAAATGAAAGGAAGAGTACAGTACAAATTTATAACCCAAACAACCTGGCATTCTGCTTCAGACCCACAAAACTGGCCAGTTAGGTTAATTTTGGTAAAGTTCTATTAAAGGTCATTTTTTTAATTTATTCAATGAGGATAATAACAGAATCTACTAAAGTGATTGTTGCAGAATTTGATATTAAGCATATCCAAAAGGCTTAGCATAATGCTACATATTAGCCATTCTCATAGGAAAAGATAGAGAGACAGGTTTTAAAGTTCTAATCCAATTTCTATCTCTTTAACATATATCTATCTTTCCATGAAGTATAGCAAGCAGTGTAAGTCAATAATAAATGAAGGCTTTGTTATTTTAGGTGAGTCTTGTCAGAAGAGAATGTTATATACTGGTAGTTTGAGAAAGGACTGCAAATTATAGAATTAAACAAATTGAGAATAAATAATTATTTCTTCCTCATTTTAAATCATCTTTCTCCTCCTTCTTTTCTTTTTTCAATATTCCTGAATCATTTCAAAAAAAAGACAAAAGTAAAATAAGTTCTGTCTTCATGATTCATCAAGCTAGTATCAACTGGCTCAGGAACAACCAACCAAATTGTATTACTGTATATGAGTGGCTGCAGAATGGGAATCCATACATAATTTAGCCTTTTCAGAATCAATCCTCTTAAAAGGAAGAAAGGGAAAAACAAGAAAAAAGAGAAGCAGAAAGAGAGGGAAAGAAAGAGGGAGGAAGACAGGGAAAAAGAGAGTAAAGTAAGGAGGAAGAGAGGCAGGAAGGGAGGAAGGAAGGGAGACAGGAAACGAAAGAGTAAAAGAAAAAAATAACATATGGTGGCAGGAAAAATAAAGTCAGAATAGGTAATATTAATATATAAATATAATACCACATTTTTCTTATGAAAATGCAACTTCATTATGAAAAAGTCAAGAAATATGGAAATCTTCTGAATGAGACTTATAATAAGCAACATTTTAAATTATTTTAATTATCTAGGTATCAGGGAAGAAGTAGATTTACACTAATTTTTAATGATCATTACCTTTGCCAGGGTTGCTATAGCAAATTACTATGCAATGGGTGGCTTCAAAAGTAGACATTTATTTCTCACAGTTCTGGAGGCTGGGACATCCATGAAAAAATAGATGGGCTAGGCGTGGTGGGTGACGCCTGTAATCTCTGCACTTTGGGAGGCCTGGGTGGGTTGATGACTTGAGGCCAGGAGTTCGAGACCTGTCTGGGCAGCCTGGCAAAACTCCCTCTCTACTAAAAATACAAAAATTAGCTGGGCATGGTGGTGCATGCCTGTAATCACAGCTACTCAAGAGGCTGAGGCATGAGAATCACTTGAACTAGGGTGAAGGTTGCAGTGAGCTGAGATCGCACCACTGCACTCCAGCCTGGGTGACAGAGTGAGACTCTACCTTAAAAAACAAACAAACAATAAACAAAAAAAGTGCGAGATGATTCAATTTCTGGCAAGGGCCATCTTTCTGCCTTGAAGATAGTAATTTTCTTGCTGTGTCCTTACATGTTGGAAGGAAGGGAAAGAGAGAGAGAATGAGGGAGGAGGGGCCAAACTCTCTGGTCTCTTTAGATAAGGGATCTAATCCCAGAATGAGTCTCACCTTCACGACTTCATGTAAACCTAATCACCTCCCAAAGACCACATTTCCAAATACCATTGATTGGGAGTCAGGGCATATGAATTTTGGAGGAGCACAATATTCAGTCCATAACAATCATGTATTATTGTTTTTTACACCACGTGGATTACATTGGTGTTTCTCTCAATTGCAGAAGGGAAATACATTTGAGTGAATTAATCAGTGTAATTCATTTGTATGGCACATTTAATAAGTAATAAAGCTGTTCCACAGTTTTTTTTAAAAAAACCTTCCATGTTTTATTTATTTTTCTGCCTATCTGAATATCAAATTTCTCTTAAAATTTAGTACATTACGACTAGTAATTTTGAAGGTAAAGATGTGTAATTTTTCAGCTGAGATACACATCAGGCCTTTTTAGGAATTATGAACACACCTGTAAATATTTCAGCTAATATGCACAAGACCTTTTAAAAGATACAATTATAAATAGCAATTCAGACTGTCCTTGAAATGTTTGAAGGCCCACAGAGAATTTTGAGAAACTGCTATATCTGATTACTTCTGAATAGAGAATATGATTGACCTATCCAAATTGTAAATATTTGCCAACTCTGAATTTAATAATCTGTTAATCTAAATGCTTTTAACAGCTAAGTATCATCAATGTCAAAGAAATGGCTTTTCTTTCCATAATCATTGTATTACCCAAATTAGCAAATTTATTTTATTAGAAGCAGTCCTCACAAATAAACATCAAGTTATTACATGAGCTACCATGCTGCCAAACAAGTGGCAAATAGCCAACTGATATGACATGAGAATTCTGGTGACTGCCTAGGTTCAGGATAGCTTATTGAAAGACAAATTCATACAAAATAAAATATTTTGAAATATCTTGTTAAATCCATAATTATTATTTTTAGAAAAGAAGCATCTTAGGCTTGACAGTGACCTCAGATGCCCTCGAACACACTGCATTATCTGAGGACAATTTCCCCCATTATAACAGTCTCAACATGTGACTTTTAATTTCTGCTACAATGCATGCAGAAGCCAGTATGGTGTTATGTTATATTTTCATGTTGCTTTCCTTGAACTGAAATTACTACAGACTTATTATTTATATAGGCATTTCTTATAAAACACTGCTACTGTGATTTCATTTTATTTTCATCACCACCTGTAAAATAGACAAGGTTGATATTATTATCCCAAGTTAATAGATAAAATCATGGTTGATAGAAATTGTGGCTTTTTCAAGATGTTACATCCAATAATTGAGAGCTGAGGCATAACTCCAGGCTTTCTGATTTCCAATCAGAATTCATTTTTTTCCATCCTGTATTGACAAAATTCTCTAATAAGCTTTTCTGCCTTTTATTTTCTTTTTTGTAAAAGAAGACTGTAATACAACTCTTTTCCAAATAAATATTCTTTGTTGTTTGACAACACACCTCACGTTAGCTCTACAATTCTTGCTTCCAAGGCTAACTCTGCATTAATTCTTTAATTATATAAATATCCTGAAGTTGCCTGATTGCTTATCATCTTGATATTTCTCTCAGAAAGGTGACCAAGATGTCAGAGCTTCTCTAGTGGTGTGGTCAAAAAATGCACGCTATCTGACATGGTATATGGCATGGTTTTAAGTGGTTGCTTTCTGATGTTAAATACTATTTCAATGAATACTTTCACTATTTAAAAGTCAGATAATTTTACTGGTTTTTATTAAGCAAAGATTGAAAAGGCCTCTTGACAAGCACTACAGTGAAGCCAGTTCTTACCAACTCTTATTTGCAGATTTTCTTGTAACCTAAATGCATTCGTTTATATTTATCCTTGTTAAACATGATCTTCCAGAATGCTATATATCAGTCTATTCTGTCAAGAACTTTCTTAATCTTAATATTCTCATCCATCATATTATGTATTTCTCTGTTTTCTGTCACCTATAAAATTAATAAATGTAACTTCCTTATCTTGGTCTAAATTGTTTGAAATATAATTCCACAGGACAAGTCTGTAAAGTTTAGACAAGCATCTTTATGCTTTGGCTTTCTCATTTCTAAAATGATAGAGTTGAGCTAGATGATCTCAGTGGTCTTTTCTAGGTCTAAAATTCTATGACCAGGCATGTTGTACTAAATAAATATTCTTTAGACTACATATTTACAAGCATACATACATATGATATACACACAATCACACACATGATGCTTAAAACAGTCTTTAGTCCTTTAATCATTTACTATTAATATATATTTATAAAATTTACGTGTATACTAGACATTTGTTTTTATTATTTCATTCAAATGTCCTTTTTGAGTGGGAAAGGAAGGGGCACAGTTACATCTAGTGAAAATTTATGCCAAGACTGTAAAACTTGTAGATATAAATTCCAGTCTACTTACGTAACATGTGGTAGGAAAATATGGGATAGCTGCATTTAACCATGAGCTCTTTGACTAAGGTAAAGACATACAGTTGATTGGCATGACTATTTTCTGTAGTATCCCTGAAGTATGTAATGATTAACGATACTTCTGTTTTATTTTCTATTTGAATAACAAATAAATGAAAACATAGATTAATTGAAGATATATTCTTTAATTTTTAAAGTAGCTCAGTTACATACAACAAAAATTGTCATTTTTAGGTGTACCATAATTGAGCACCACACATAGTTTTGTTTGGTAATAACTGTTTCATGAAATACAACAATACCACCTTATCTGTGGGGGCTGGGTTCAAAACTCCCACTCCAGTGGATAGTTGCAACCACAGAAATTACCAGACCCTAGGTATAATATGCTTTTTCTTATACATACATAGTTACCATAAAGTTTAATTTACAAATTAGTCATAGTACACTTGCACTTCTGGGTCATCATTAGTAAAATAAAGACTACTTTAACACAATTCGTACAATACTGTGACAGTCAATCTGATAACCAAGATGGCTACTAAATGACTAAAGGATGAGTAGAATACAGAGCATGGATAGATTGAACAAAGAGATGGTTCATATCCCTGGTGAGATAGAGCAGAGCAGTGCAAGATTTCATCTTGCTACTAAAAGCGTGCACAGTTTAAAACTTATGAATTGTTTATTTCTAAAATTTTTTATTTAATATTTTCAGGCCATGACTGACCTTGGGTAACTGAAACCACACAAAGCAGAACTGGGAATAATGAGGACTTATCGAAATACATGTATTTGTTAATATGTATTCCTGTGTTTAAGTTATAGAGCTATATAATTTTTTCCTGAAATTTTGTAATTATAAGGCCAAAATAAGCTTCAATCTCCAAATTTCATTAATCTGAAAATTTGGTTGTAGATTTAATATGTTTGCTGAAGAAATTAAAGATCCTGCAATATTGCATCGCTACTAACATATTATCCTGAAGAATAAATTATTTGTCTTATTTCCATAAAGAAAAGTAAATGTTACTAGTGAATATCTTCTACTTCCTCCAAATTCTGGACCGGATACACTAAAATGTTATGTCACTGAAAGTGGATACATTGCATCAAATGTGATTTTAAATGCATTGCTGAGCTCCCATAAAGGAATGAAAACTCTCCCTAGGTGGAGCAAGCTAATATTAGAGTAATAAGAAAATATTAAGTCCTAATATCCTCACAACAAAGTCCCATAATGGGATCTTAGATATTTGAAGATTAGCAGCTTATTGCGGGGGACTAAAAGACTATAGCTGGGCCATTGTAAATTTTGAGGCTTCATTCTCAGACTCCTGCTTAAAACCTGCATCCTGAAAATGGTGACATGAAACAATGACTGTTTAAATATGTCAGCTGACAAAAGGCACCAATAAAGATATGTCTGATGCTGGTTGGCTTTAGAGGAAAATATGAACTATTACAATAGTTTGAATAATTGTATTATTATATTTATATAATATGGAAGAAAGACTACTAAACTTTAACACACATCTAGTAAAGTACCAGATAAAAGAGGGAATATAAAGAGTCTACCTCAAAAGCCACTATTCAAGGGGCAAATGGAAGATAATTTTCTAGAATTGATAAAAAATATGAATAATAAACACAATAAAAATATCCTATTTTTTAAAAAAATCTCCACAACATTAAGTTTTAAAAAGCCAAAGCAGAAGACACTCATAAAACTAAATGTATGGATGTATAGTAAACCAGAAATTGAATTTATAATGTTTTGAGAACAAAGGAGTAAACAATTTGATTTTCTTAACAAATACAGAAAAAAAGACCTTAGATAAAGTGCAAGTATGATTCATTTTGAAACCTGGGTATTGATTGCAACTTTCTGTAGCTAATTAAATGTATCTACAAAAGGAATCCATAGTTTTCTTAATAATTAAGGTAAATGTTAGAATTTTTTAAAATCAGGAATTAGACAAGGTGAATGTCACAGTATCATTTTAATATATGCCAACACAGTAAGAAAAAAAAAAGAAAAGGTTTAAAGATTGGGAAATCTAATTTTTAAAAAGACAGGAAAAGAAAGAAACTCATCATTCAGAAATAATATATTTGTCTCCATGGAAATCCCAAAAGGATCTATGGTAAAAATATTACCTAAAAGAGGAGAGTTTAACAAAGTTACAAGATCCACATCAAAAAGTCATTTCCAGTCCTAAACATCAGCGACAAACAAAAAAGCATACTTTTGTGAAATAATAAAATTTTAAATTAAAACAAAATTTTTAAAGTATCTTTACTTAAGTCTGTCAATAAAGTAAAAGACACATAAGTAGAGAAGGTTATTGAGGATGCATTTTTAAAGACAAACAGTTAAACCATGATTATTAACTAAAAGGCTAAATATAAAACTACAAGATTTTCCCAAATAACTATAAATTTAAAGTCATGACAATCAACTGGATGTCTTGGACTTGACAAGTAGAAAATTAAATTAACACACAGATGCAAAGAATCACAGATAGATAAGACACTACTGCAAAATAATGACACAGAGAGAGGTTTGCCTTGTGAATGACATAGGCCTATATCAAAGCAGTAACTAAATCAAGCATAAAATTGGTATAGGAAAAGGAAAACAGACTAAGATATCATAGTAAAGAGGACAGAGAAAAATAAACATACAGTTGATCTACATAATTTACAGTAGTTATGTTCTATGAAGTCTCCTCAAACAGAATTTAAAAATGTCAAACCATTACTTTTAGGGGAAATGGAGGGACAGGCTCCTGAAAGTCTCTGGTCACAACATTTTTCTCACCTGATCACCACATAACCTTATTTTATGTGTATCTCTGTGTGTGTCTGTCTAAAAAATTATGTATATATTTATATATAATTAACTAACATTAAACTTACAGCCAGCACCACCATAAAGTATCCCTGAAACAAAGCTTCTTTAACAAGGAACATAACACACTTCTTAAATTTAAGAACACTAAACAGCTCTTCAGCACTATGTTTGGAGGCCATATTAAACAACAACAACAAAAATCACCATAAAAAAATCACAAAAACATGAAAAGCATGAAACTCACAAAAACACTCATTTACAGTGTATGAGATGAAATAAGAAGCCCTAGGTAGAAAAATATGCATTCAGACCCAAATTTTTTGTTGCTGTGCATATGTCGACAAATGACCATAAAAGCACTAAGGGGTATTGATCTGGGGGTTACAAATAAATTTCAGTGGGTAGACAAATTTAAAAATACAGAATATGCAAATAATGAGGATATATGGAAACTTCATATATGACTGAATTTTCACTGAAATCTGTGAGAAAAACATTACACTAAAAGAAGTTCTTTGCAATCCAAAAACAAGGAAATATTAAATTCTAAATTATATTTAAAAATATAATCCCACAACTTAATTACTGGACAAATGCCCTAGGAAGTTTTTTTCCAAGTATATTCAGATGTACTGGAGTTGCATATGAGAATGGTCATAGCAACATATTTTCTACTAAAAATATAAAATATATAGTTATTGCATGCCTCAATATAAAATGTCTGCAAAACTGTATTATATTTATGAAGGAAGACTTGTCAAAGATGGAAATGAATAAAAAATAGTTCCATATGTCAATATAGTAAAATTAACAAACATGAACCCAAGAAAATAAGTTGCAGAAGAATATATGCATTGGGATACCATGTATGCTCTTTGAAAATATTGAAAAAATTATAATGCATTGCTCATACAAACATATATACATAATATATAAAACCGAATTGGAAAGAAGGGGAAAATGAGTACAAAACAAAAACTAGTTAATATCCTTGGCATAGGGAAAGAGAATAGTTTGATCAGGGTGGTAGACCCAGTGGTTTCAACAGTATTACTTTTTTATTTCAAATATTGAAGTGTATAAACATATAAATTATGTTTCCTGATACTTTAGCAATTTATTATATTTTTGTGTATAAAAGGTATTATAGTAAAATAAGAATTCAATAAAAAGTGAGATAAACTGGTATCTAATAATCACATTTCTGAAAGTAATGATATATGACATGAATATTTAGGAAGGAAAAAAATTGAAGACTAATAAAGAGCCAAAAAATTAATATTAATGAAGGCAAATTTTGAAACCAAGAGACAGAAACAAGTAGCATGTCAATAAGAGCATTTCATCCAGGCACAGTGGCTCCTGCCTATAATTCCAGCTACTTGAGAGGCTGAGGTGGGAGGATCACTTGAGCCCAGGAGATGGAGGCTGCAGTGAGCTTTGATTGTGCCACTGCACTCTAGCCTGAGCAACACAGTCAGACTCCAAATATCTCTAAAAAAAATAAATAAAAAATAAAGAAGCATCTTAGTCCAAAAGTTTATCACCTGCTTTCAAATATCTAAGATCTATTGTTTAATTTAACTTTATCAATAATATTTCTGAATTATTTAGATTTTTTAAAAAATAACTTTTTAAAGGGATGACAAAATTTTTTTCAAGCAACTGAAACATTAAAATTTATTTAACAAATTTACCTTCAGAAATCTCTTCTGGGTTTTGTAACAAGATATGTTAGCAAATAAAAATGAAATAAATGAGTCAACTTAGCAGGGCTTTCCCTGCAATGAAGCCTCTCTAGCATTTTTACCTTTTAATTTCATTCTTCCATTTTAGTCACCCATGGCCTGTAAGAGAACTTTATTCTCTCTGTGTCTCTCTCTTTCTCTGTGCTGTTGTGTCTGTCTTTCTCTCTTTCATTCTCTCTTACTCTTTATCAATGGCTCCTTTTCAAACACCACTTCATTCAAAAAAAATCTTTTCAAATGGCTGCCAGTTTAATAGAATTTCAGTGTGAATTTCGGCTTTAGCCGAAATTCCCTTCTGGCAAAGGTTTAATTGTAATCATTTGTGGACTTTATCTATTTATCTTACTATATATCATAAATTTTGAAACTAGGAACTGCTTATTTCTCATTTTTCTATTGTCTGTAATTCAGAGATTATACAAATGGATTAAAAAAATTCATTATTGAGCTGAATCCTAGTCTAGATTCCCGAATTCCCAATTTTAATAAAGATAGTATGCTTAATTTAAAAAAAGTTCTTCCAGTTGAGTGGTACATAAACTCCAAATTCTGATAATATTTTCTCCAATGACTATATCTTCTAATATTTTTCAATATAAATATATTTCTGTTGTTGTTAAAAATGTTTCTGTCATTACTTTTACTTATCTGTGAATATACACACACACACATACATATATATATATATATATATATATATATATATATATATATCTCAAAGAAATGAAATATTTGTATATGATCTGAGTCATACCTAGGAGCAAACTTCAATGAACACATATTTCACCCAAATTGAGTAGGCTAATTGAACTATCCTGCCAGTGGGAAGGCACACAGTTAGTCTGCTCCTGGGCATAACCTGATCTGAGAGTGTAAGCATGAGTTTTGTGATCTTAACATGGTCTTCTCTAATGTGAAGGTCACAACAATTCATAAGGAATGAGCTCCAAAACACAAGTTATATTATGTTAATGTTACTCTAGGATCAAAGAATGATGAGACACTCTTTAAGAGATGTTATTTGTTTATTAAGATGTGTGTATTTTAACATTTATGTGTAATTCAACCAAAATAGGCTTCCTCAATAAACAGGGGGAACTAAAATTTTTTAAAAAAGGCTTTCTGTAAGTAGAACATTAGAAGAAACATATTAAGTTCACGCTTACACCCCCAGAGATCACAATATTCCCAGAAGCAGCTTAGCTGTGTGACTTCCAAAAGAACTCTGATAGTCATTAATTTAGTTTAAGTTTACTATGGCTGATACGGTTAGGCTTAGTGTCCCCACCCAAATCTCATCTTGTATTATAATCTCATCTTGAATTTGGGGAGAGACCTGGTGGAAAGTGATTGGATCCTGGGGACATTTTCCCCCATGCTGTTCTTGTAATACTGAGTGAGTTCTCATGAGATCTGACCGTTTTACAAGGGAGTTTTCCTTACTCTTGCTCTCTCTCTCTCTCTCTCCTTCTCTCTCTCTCTCACTTGTCTGCTGCCATGTAAGACATGCCTCTTTCTCTTCCTCCATTATTGTAAGTTTCCTGAGGCCTCCCCAGGCATGTGGAAGTGTGAGTCAATTAAACCTCTTTATAAATTATCCAGTCCCGGGTATGTCTTTATAGCAGTGTGAAAACGGACTAATACAATGGTTTTGAGTTACAGCTTCAGTTCATTAATTGTACTAAGTACACCAGTATTAGCTACATCAGTACATCCAAAGATAATTAAAACTAATATTCATTGTCGGGATGTTAATATGAGCCAGACATTGTTCTAAAAAGTTTCCATGATACTTTCAATCAATCTTTACAGCAGTTCTAGAAGGTAGATATTATTATTATCACCATTAAAGTTTGAGAAAATATAGAATGCATATTGAGTTAGTGAGAGACGTATTTGACATTGAAAATCAAGGTTTATCAGACCAAAATGTGAATGATAAAACACTTTGGTATGTTACTTTCTAAACTTGGTAATAAAATGAAACTACCAAACTCTCAGGAAAATGAAATATAGAGCAGAATACACCTTTAGTAATGTAAAATGGAAGCTATGAAATACTTACGTGCTCTATGCTACGTGTGTTGGTAAAACAGTGTTCATCCAAAGTTAGTCTATGCATACTGTCTTAGTCAGCTTGGGCTGAAATAATGAATTACCATAGACTGGGTGATTAAAATAATAGTCTTTAATTTCTCACAGATCTGGAGGTTGAAAGTCCAAGATCAGAGTACCAGCATCATAGGGATCTTAATGAGCACCTTCTTTCTAGTATGTATAACTATATGATTATAATTACACTTACAACCATATGACTATGATTATATTGACTGTAAAATTTTAGATAAACTTGAAAAAATTCAAACATTTTAATATTTTTTAAAACTTTATAACTCTTGGTTGATGAATTATATAAAATACAATAACATAACTAAAGTTTTTCATTATGAGATATAAAGTAAACAAGAAATCAATAATAATGAGATGAATGCTTTGATGAAATATGAGGATAATGCATTAGCTATAAGTATCAATTTTGTATCCTCATGAAAGCAAGCCCTTTCAAACTCCATTCTGTATATATTCCAATTAAAGATTCCACTGTGTTTTGTGATCACTTCTATTACCACTCTTGCCAGGGACATGGAATATTATGATGGGGCAAATGTCATTATACGTCCATTCCTAAATTTTGGTTATGAGGTTTGGTTTTATGTGATTGAAAATTCTAGTAGAGTTGGACAGAGTTGGAGAGATTCTGATCTCAAAGGAAACCTATCCTTTGACAATAAACTCATTTCCTCTTAAATGCAATTTCAAAAAGAACTAGTCCTATCACAATGCCACTGCCCATCATTAAAGGAGAATGAAAAGTTGAAAATGTATCCCTCTATAAAAATATATAGTTCATATCAATTATTTCATCAAATCTCTACTTTTCTGGTGGTGCTCATTCCTCCTCAATATCCAGTTAGTATACATCTTAACAAGAATTAACCCATTCAGTGTAAGGCGGTTGAATGAAAATAGGATTACCAAAATAATAACTACAACTTTGTAAAGGAAGAAAAGAAGGCAAATACACTTGCCTGATATTTTTCTCGTTAGGAAGAGCAATAATTTTCCAGGAAGTGGAGTGAATTTTTTTACTAGTCTATTTGTCCTTAACTGTACCCACTGGGCATATCTACTGTGTCCATTTATTGTTTTACATGTATATGACTGAGAGCTGCAACGTGGAAGAATTAATCTAATTATGTTGGTTGACAGATTATGTGATTAATAACTACTCCATGGATTAATACATTAAGCAAGAAATCTTATCTCGATATGATATTTGAATGTGGACCTTTTTCTATAGACTTCTAATTTAAAAGCTGGGTAATACTCAGATTTCTAGGCTTCAATAATATGGATTCCTTCTTTATGAGTACCTCAGGATAATATGAAATGTTTTCCTCTTGATTGTATCCAAATATGTTGTCCTGAAGATGGAGGTGTTCATGGGGCCTCCCAAGAGATCAGGCACCTTCCATTTTTCTGGTCCTAATGGCTACTGGTCCTCTATTATGCTTGTCTTTTCTGTACATTACCTTCATTTCTAATGGATGCAGTTTTACACAGATAATTCAGGTTTTTTATTTCCATAAGGCACATAATTACCTGACTCTCAGCAATTTTTATTGCTGGGACTGGGTGAGGGGAGTACTTGTACTGCACCTGCATGCTTTCCATTCATATTGGCAAACTTGGATCCAAACCATTATAAGAAACTCCTAAAACAACAGATTCCCAGATTTAAACCTTTTATATTTTTTATTTTCTTCCAAACTTCTAGTGTAATCTAAATTTAAAAATGTAAAAGGTAGGAATGTAACCAGTTTTTTTACTGCTACATTAAAAATGTTATCATAATCCAAGTCAGACAGGGAAATCTTTATTGCTACTTTTCTGAACTTGAATTCACCAGTTCTATAGAGTTTGCTCTTAGAATATTCTGTGTCTGGTACAAATATTTCTGTATGTTTCTCGACAATGGCTGTTACATATACATGACATTCAGGTTGAAATTGCTCAAAACTGAATAGACTATATTCTTCATTGGTTCATATAACTGCAACTCCAGGAGAGGAAGTAGCCTCATATATAGGAGGATGCAGAGGTTTAAATAATGAAATCTGGCACCTATCCCTTCCTCTTCTCTCTTCCCAATCTCCCTCTTTTTTCCTCACCTCCTCCTTTTTCCCCTCTCTCAGCTTTGCTTTCTTTTCTGTGTTGGCTTCATTTTCTCAAAGTACGTTTAGTGTTCTCCATTTGACCTTGAAATATAGCCATCAAAAGGAACAAATTTTATATCCTTTTGACCTAGTAACCTCTGGGAGTCCTGATATTATCTTAATTACATTTAATTACAGGGATTGGTTTTTATTAACTCTGCTTCATCTCAGAGTTCTTTTTTTCGCCATGCACAGTGGTGTACTATGTTTGCAAGCCTGGAGCACCTATCCACCTTGAAATTTCTATAAATGACATGCTAAAGAGAAGGGGTTACTTTCTAAAGAAGATACCTTGGGCACAGACAACTAACAGTGGCAAATTAGATGTAAAATGAGTATTCAAAAAGGGATTAATATAAACTCATCATAAGCAAATACTTTTTAATCTCTTTAAGTATAGGTCCTTGCAAAAGTAATTTCAGTTTTTGCGGTTACTTTCAATGACAAAAACCACAATTAATTTTGCATCAACCTAATAATACTAATTACAAGTTATCTCTTTGACCTCTTACATTTGCAAACATTTTTTGTGGATAGTAATAGAATGTGGTGACATGATTTAATAAAAGCTGTCATGCTTTTATTAGGTAAGAGTTACTTAACTTCTTTGGAAGTCTATTTGGAGGATGTATCAAGATCTTTAATAGTGTTCATTATTATAATTGAGCCATATATATACTTCCATTAGTCTAAGAGAAAAATCATAAGTAAACTGTAGTCTTATATAGACTGTTGTTCATTCTAGAATTATCTATCTCAATAAGTTGTAAATCCCTGAAGAATTTAAACATAAAAGGCTATAAATGCATATGGCCAGGTGCAGTGGCTCACACCTGTAATCCCAGAACTTTGGGAGGCTGAGGCTGTCCAATCATTTGAGGCCAGGAGTCGATAGCAGCCTAGCCACATAGTGAAATCTTGTCTCTACTAAAAATACAAAAATTAGCTGGGTGTGGTGGTGTGCACCAGTAATCCCAACTACTGGGGAGACTGAGGCAAAAGAAGCGCTTAAATGTGGGAGGTGGAGTTTGCGGTGAGCTGAGATCATGCCACTGCACTCCAGTCTGGTAAGACTCTGTCTCAAAAAATAAAAAATAAAAAAAATTTTAAAGGCTATGAATGCATAGAAATACTAAGGGAAAATTTAAGGATGAATAAGTGTACTAAAATTATCTCTCAAAAAATTAGCATAAAACTTCATAACATATATACATATATTACTTAAAAACAGGAGACAAAAGTACATAAATGGGAATTGTAAAATGTTTTAACCCTCAGATAGTATCAGTAAACATACAAATCATTCATGGTTAGTGAAAAACATATATAACAGAGAAAACAGAAAGATCTAAGTTAATAATGATATAGATATTATATACACATGAACAGAAAATTATGTTTTAAGATATTTGACAAATTATATGCTAAAATATTTGGAAAATCAATGATAGGAATAATTTGAATGTTATATACTAAACACTGTGTGACATCTATATATCATAGTCTATAACAAACACAAGGAAATAAATTTATAAGTAAAACTATGAATTTAGATGAATACAATTCAAATAATATATGTAAAATCACAAATGAAAACAAAAAAATAATGATGCACCTGCAGAAATGTCAAATGTAAGACATCAGAAATAATACAACAGAGACAGCACATTTTACCTCCTTCAAAATAAAAAGTATAGAATCTCATAACAAAATACCTTACATTAATTAAATGAAAAAAATTGGTTTTTTATAATAGATAACACAATATATGTAATAAAAATTTTTGATTTACTCCTGATTTGAATAATAATCATTTTATTTTAGAAAACTAGAAATCAATGAATGTCTTTGACAAGATAAAAATAATTTAAAAAGCAAACTCTAGAGTTATAGTTAATGTTGATCACCTAGAGGTACCCAACATCAGATGAAATAATAATAAAATACAAATGTCCCTGCTATTACTAGTATTATTTTACAATTTTAGTATTTTAGTTTGCAATAAGTTAACAAATATATCTATGAATTATACAATAAAAAGGAGGAAATAATATTATCATTTTTGGTAATGACATGATTTAATTGTACAGAAGCAGAAGACATTGAAGCTAATAAGAAAGATCAGTAAAGTGACTGATTAAAAAATAAACACAAAATTAGTAGTATTTCTAGACGGTGATAAAAATTGACTCGAATTTATAAAGAAAAAATGGTAGCAAAGCGTTAAGCATATTATATAACTAAGAATTACAAAAATAATATTGATGAGGAACTTCAGAAAACTATACTTGTAAATAAGATTTATGAGAAAATACCTAATAACATGCTTTTCCACAAAACAACTCAAATTTAATAAAATATTAATTGTTGTATTGACTCTAATTATAAAAATTATGATGAAAATAACTATGAATACATTTAACCTATTATATTGTTCTAAAACTAAACAAGCTTCACTATTTACATTTCTAAAAAAGAAGCAAAATAATATAGACGTACACCACCAACAATTGAAATTATTCTAAGATCCTACTGAAAAATAATAGTTTTGTCTTTAGGAGGATGTTATGAATTTTTAAAAATTATTTACTTTACATGTGTGATACTCTATTTTTCTATAACCACTGTGTTCTTTGATAATTAAAATATGCATTATGAATAAAAATAATACCATTTATACATTCACAAAAAAACAGTGAACAGATAAGTCATATGATAGAAATACCACTGACGATAAACAGAAAATATTTCAACTCATTGAAACAAAAAAAATCATTTTGATATAGTTTTCACTAGTCAAATTAGGAAATAAAATATACAAGCCTAGCTAATTCTGGAGATGGGGCATAGGAAAAGTAAATTATAAATATTTTTTGAGATATTCTACCCTTGGGTAACTCTAATAATATGCTAAATGAATACATTTGATTAATTCTGATCTAACTGAAAAAAAATCTATGTTTTCATTATGTAAAAATCAAAAGAATTGCACATCATTGTAAAAAGTGGTGTGACTTCAACCTTATTAAAAAGCATGCAAAAACACATAAACAGGAAGCACACATAACCAAAATGTTAATAGTATTTACCTTTCAGTGGGCTACTGCTTTCCAAACTTTTATTTTCCTTTTTTCAGTTTAAATTTTACCAACTTTTTATGCCATGCTTCTGTATTTTTTACAATTTAAAAAGTAAAAATTGTCTTTACAATAGGCTACTTGTTACATTTTACCTAGATCTGATTATAATAGATTAAAAGAACCAAAAAAAAAAAAAAAACCAAGAAAATAAAATGGCTAGTTGAAATATCATATAGGCCATTATTTTGTTTAGAACTATTAAAAAATGTTTTCAATATTTGGCCAATTTGGCTGTGGATTTTAAAGCTGTATACATAATTATTCACAACAGAAAATATCCATGTAAAATAAAACATATTTTATTTACCAAATAATCACATCTGAGAAATACTGGATTAGTACATACAGATCCCCAGCTATGGCAGGGCTCCACCATGGTTGAGGTAATTCAAATCCATCTCCTTTGAAGGAGTAGGTACTCTCTCCCTTGGTTAAACAAACAAAAATTAGAAGAGGTGAGAATACTTTTAAGTTAATAAAGGTGGCTAAAAATGATTCCTACATTTCTGGTATTTTACTGCATTAAAAAAATCTATACATTTAACTACATATAAGTCAATATAGATAGCTACTATGGCTACTAAAATCAATAATTAAGATGTACCTATGAAATATTGTGCTAAATGATTAAAGTTCAAAACATTAATGAAAATATCAAATGAATTTCTTTAATGATTGGGTTTATATCTTATACTTTAAAATATATTCTATGTAATGAACAATAATATTAATCACATTGAATCTGTATGCATTAACAAGATCTTGATTTTAAAATATGAATTATCTATCTATTGGATAAACGTTCATTTACATCTTTAGGCTCTATTACAGTATTTAATAAATGGTTTATGCATTGGCAAATATAATATTATTTGATAAACAACTATTAGAATATAGTTAATTATTTTCATTTTGGAGCAATTATTTAGTGAGTAACTAATATTTTATAGTAGAGGCTTTGCAAAGCTAGAGATCTGTAAAGTCTCTGTTGTTAGAAAATTAAGAAAATTATACTTTAATAAGCAATAATTTCAATAAAGTACCAGTTAATCAAAATATCTATTTGAATGTACATTGATAAATGTTCAACTGCAGTACATTTTATTGAATATGAACCATATGTTAATAAAAATTTATATAAATCTAGATATTTTTATCTATTTATCATCTTCAAACCTATCAACTATTTAACTCTCATATTATTGTTTTTTAAAGAATAAAGTTTTCAATTACAGTTTTAACCCAACCTAATAATATAGGATGACTGGGGAAACTGCTTATTTCTTATATGCAAACTATTATTTTTTATCTCACTATAAATTAAGAATAAAATATCTTCAGTAAGTTCCCCCTACAAAACATATAATACGTGGCTAGCCACATCTTATGTACTGTTAATAAAATTCACAGCACATGCATTAAAGCCCAGCAACTATTTCCAAGCCTGTTAGAAATATGCTTCAGCAGTATATTTGCATATTATGGATCCATTATTTATAAATACATCATAAAAATACATCGACAAAATATCAGCACATATGAAATTCTTTATAAACCTCAGTATCTCAATCTGGCTAAATGTTTATTTCATTTTACTGAAGAGTAAATGGCATTCAGAATGCTTGACATCAAAATCTTTTTCCATCTAAACCATGTGTAGGAGTAGGAGGTTGTTAATACTGTACTTTTAATTTTTTTGAGGAGAGATAAAACTGTCTTGAGAGTACATAAAATATATTTAATTCCTTGGGTAGGTCTGAATTTTGTTGGGGAACAGATTTTTGCAGCCAACTTTAAAAACCTGTAAATGAAATGGAAATTTAAAAAACCCACAACTGTTGGAGCCAAACTATAGAAGATAATGAATTCAAACCATAACTTTTATGAAAAGTGTAAGTTAAAATTATTTTGATAATGTCTGAATATTAAAATCTGGCCAATGTTTTGCTATTGCTTCTTTTTTTATAATCATCCAATTCTAAGGCTTTTCCCCTAAACTTAATTTTCTTATCCAGTTTTCATGTTCCTCCTCTATATTTCTTTATTTAGCATTTTCTTTTTCTCCTGCCATTTGCTATTTGAAAGAAATTGCCAGTTTTCATCCTCTATTGATTTCAGTCTTCTCCCAACTCCTTCTATTGGGATTTTACATTAAATAAAAGCCTTTAAATAAATACTTTTCTGTCTTCAAATAAATCGTTCAGTGGCATTTCCAGAAGAGAACAGTCTTACATACTTCGTTTTCTTTCTAATTATGGTGATCCATGAATTATACTTTATTTTCTTCTTTCTGATTATTGTAGACCATCTAAACCCTGGATCTATCAGTCTATTGAGAGACCCAGGTCCTAATCCCAATTCTGTGGAACAGTTTCTCTACCCTCTCTCTGCTAAATAAGGAATCAAAGTGATTTTCTGGATTGCCATTCTGTTCTGGAGCAGCCTGAACTTGGGAAACTGAAAGTGGAATTTCATTTCATCCACTGTAGAACCTGCAAAACAGTGTTGCACAAACTTCCTCCTACGGCAATACCTTAGTATTCTATACTATTTTCCATTCTGAGGTTGATCTAAATATTAATGAAAGCATTTTTAGGATATGTAGGTGAAACAACGCCTATGTCTATACAAACATGTTGATATAAAGTAGTCTGTATTTAATTATAATAGGATAATAAGAAAAGAGTAAGACAAGATAATTTGTAAACAACATATTTCAATCAAGTGAAGCCCCATGTAGCTTTAGCAAGGATTTGGAAAAAGCTGTTGAAAGATGAGTCAACACATGGAGATGCACGGCACACAGTCAGGGCAAACTAAAAATCCTGTGAGTTAGCAATGGAGGCCAAATTTATCTTGTCACAAATTGTTTCATTCAGCAACATAACATGATACATCACATTAGAATGTTGCCATTAGTTTAGGTGTATTTTTTATTTTGTCCATTTTCTGTTGCTTATAACAGAATACATAGAACTAAGTAACTTATGAAGAAAATAAATGTATTTCTTACAGTTATGAAGTCTGAGAAGTCGACCGACGAGGGGACACATTTTGTGAGAGCTCTCCTGCTATTGGGGACTGGTGGTGCACTGTATCACAAGCAGAGGGATATGAGTGTGCTAACATGCTAGCTTAGGTCTTTCTTCTTCTTCTTTTAGATCTACCAGTTTGCCTTCTGTGATAACTCATAAATCCATTAACCTGGCCTGGGCAGTAGTTCATGATGTAATCCCAGCACTTGGGGAAGTGAGGTGGGAGAATAGTTTGAGGCCAGGCGCTCAAGACAAGCCTAGGCAACATAGGGAGACACCATCTCTACAAAAAAAAAAAAAAAAAAAAAAAGTTTAAAAAATAGCCTAGTGTGCTGCTGCATGCCTCTATAGCTACTTGGGAGGAGTATTGAGGTAGGAAGATTGCTTGAGCCCACATGGTCAATGCTGCAGTAAGCCATGATTGTGCAACTACATTCCAGCCTGGTTGACAGAGTGAGATCCTGTCTCTTAAAAAAGAAAAAAAAAAATCCACTAACCCATTAATCCATTTATCCATGAATGGATATACATCCATGAATGGATTGATCCGTTTATGAAGGCAGACCTATTATAATCTAATCACTTCCTAATGGCCTGACCTCTCAATACTTCCAGATGGGCTATTAAGTTTCAACATGAGTTTCAGAGGAATCATTGAAACCACAGCAAAAATGGTTTTATAGATTTTTAAAAATTTAAATTTATTTCATATTTTAATGGATGAAGCTTTAAAAGAATCCTAGTTTCATATTTATTCATATTTCAATAGCACTATGATAAAACAACTTAGAATGACATATGTAAGTAATTTTCTATTTCTAGAAGAATATATACATTTCTTGCCTAAAACACACAAATAAATAAAATGTTCTTGTTGGCAGAAGATTCTTTAAATGACCTACCCTGAATTTTCTGAGATAAGAGAGAAGCAACAAGCATAATGGGTACATTCGTTGTCATAATTTTTGGTCTTTGGAGTTTCAGCAACCTTTAGTATTTGTCATGGATCAAATAATTCCAATATTCAGATTCTGTTTAAGTCCTATACTTAATCTCTGACTGCTTCATGCTCAGCAAAATCTTGTACTTCACCGATACAGCTAAAGGAAACAAACAGACCCTCTCTCTTTCACCTTTTTCTCCAAACAACTAAAGAGATCTCCCCTGCTTTCTTTTTTCCCCAGCAGTCATATTCTTGTAAGCCCATTATGGAATTTGGTGCACAAGATGTAAAAAAGCCATGGTATCAATGACCCCTGCATCCTGACAGTATAATTCTCACTCAGTTAAATATTTTCTCCTCTTTTATTTTATTTAATGTGTATTGACATAAAATAAAATTTGCACTCCTGAGACTTCATTCAAAGTTTACTTTTCCCTAACAATTTTAAAGAAAGAATATTATAACTACTTGTTTTAGTTTTCTATTGCTGCTATAACAAATTATCACAAATTTAGCAGCTTAAAACAACATTCATTTAGCATCTCACAGTTTCTATGAGTCACAGTCTGGCAGAGCACGGCTCAGCTGCCTCCTTATCTCTGGATTTGAGACCTAAATCAAGATGTTGGCAGGGCTCTGTTCCTCTCTGGAGATTATGGAGATGAATCTCCTCCCAAGCTCATTCAAGTTGTTGGCAATATTTAGTTTCTTGCAGTTTTAGGACTGAGGTCTTTGTTTCCTTTCGGCTGTCAGTCATGGTGTGTTTGCTCTGAGAGGGTGCACACTTTACTTCTCAGGCTTTCCCTGTGGCCTGCTTCTCTCAGACATCTCTCTGATGGATTCTTCTGCTCTCCATTTTTTTTTTTTTTTTTTTTTAGACAGGATCTCACTCTGGCGCTCAGGCTGGAGTGCAGTGGCACAATTATGGCTCACTGAAGTCTCCACCTCTCCAGGCTCAGGTAATCCTCCCACCTCAGTCTCCTCCATAGTTTGGACTGCAGGCACGTGCCACTCTACCCGGCTAATTTCAGTATTACAGTATTTTTTGTATAGATGGGGATTCACCATGTTGCCCAGGCTGGTCTCAAGCCATCCACCTGCCTACGCCTTGGCCTCCCAAAGTGCTGGGATTACAGATGTGTGCCACCATGCCGGCCTTTCATTTGCTTTTAAGGGCCCATGTGATTACATCTGGCTCCCCTGGATAGTCCAGGAAAATATTCCTATTCTCAGCTCAACTGATTAGTTGCAATAATTGGAAAATCCTTTCACAGCATTATCAAGATTTGTGTCCCCTGGTATGACTGAATTACCAGGAGACATGAATCTTGGGTGAGGTTTGTTTATAATTTTGCCTTCCCCATTCTGCTTGTCATCCACATGGTCAAAACATTAGGTAGAATAGCTATAATGATAATAACTAAGGTAAATGTCTATAAATTTCTCATAGGCTCAGATTAACCTGTTTATTCATTTCTTTATTTAGAAAATAATTATTGAGCACCTATTTTGTGATAAGCACTATGATTGGCATTGATGATGTGGTGATTATAATACAGATATATTATTGTTTTTATCATTTACAGTCTATCATTTAATAAGCCGATGCATATTTAACAAATAATGGCACTTTATGAAGGAAAAGAATAGGGAAGGACCTAACAGGGATCCATAGTTGTTTTCACTAAATTGAATTTCTAGTAAATTCCTTTACTTAAGTCAGTCATTGAATGCATTTCTGTCTGTAAAACTCCTCAAAGTTATCCATGTCTCTTCCACATATGCGCAACCTAACTCTCCCTTTGTATTTTTTTGATCATCAGCCCATAGTCACATAATACTTTCAAGATGCTGAACTCCTTGTAACTCTCTGAATATATGCAATCTACCTCAAACCTGTGCCCACCTAGAGGCATCCTGAGCCATTGCTCTAATCATTACCTTAACTAACCATGCCCTGAACCCCTTTGACTTTGTCATTCTTCCATTTTCTGTTCTCCATAGCTTCTTGCAGATAACAATGCTATGGCAGGCAGAATCTTATAAATAATCTTCTCTTTCTCTACCCCAATATTGAGGGACTCAAAGGTAGGGACTATATCTTATGTAATTTGAAATCACTAGTCCAGACTATAGAGAAAAGTCTAATCAAGGTTATCAATGAATTCTGAATCAAAAAGTAAAAGAAAAAAAGGAGAAGTCATGGGGAGAGAGGAAGAAAAGAACAGACAGGAGGAGGGAAAGAGGGAAGGAAACAAGAAGAAAGAGATTAAAAGAAGCAGCGTATACATCGGATTCTATAAATCATATACTTATGTGCTTAGTTCCTACATAGCACTTTTCAGCGATTTAGTTGTAAAATATGCCTGTATTTTTAAAAATCACATTTATATAATTTTACAGGTGGATATCACAGATAAAAATTTGTTAATGTTGAAAAATGTTTAAGACTGTTCTGCTACTATAAATCTTTAAGAGATTACTATGTACTGCTGAATTACTATGGTTTGCTAGTATTTTGTTGAGGATATTTGCATCAGTGTTCATCAAGCATATTGGCCCGGACTTTCCTTTTTTTGTTTTGCCTCTGACAGGTTTTGGTAGCAGGATGATGTTGGCCTTATAGAATGAATTGAAGAGAAGTCCTTCTTACTCAATTTTTTGGAAGAGTTTCAATGGGAATGATACCAGCTCTTCATTGTACATCTGGTAGAATTTGGGTGTCACTCTTTCAGGTACTAGGCTTTTTGTGGTTGGTAGGCTATTTATTACTGATTCAATTTTGGAGGTCATTATTGATCTCTTCAGGAATTCAGTTTTTTACTGATTCAGACTTGGGAGAGCAAATGTGTCCAGATATTTATCCTTTAATTTTAGATTTTCTATTTTGTGGGCATAGAGGTCTTCATAGTACTCTCTGATGGATATTTGTATTTTGGGGGGCCAGTATCCTCTTTATCATTTCTGAATCTAATTATTTGGATCTTCTTTCTTTTATTAGTCTAGCTAGTGGCTTATTAATTACATTAATTTTTTCAAAAAGCCCAACTCCTGGCTTCATTGATCTTTTGAATGTTTTTTCATGTCTCTATCTCCTTCTGTTCAGCTATGATTTTGGTTATTTCTATGTTCTGCTAGCTTTGGGGTTGATTTGCTCTTGCCTTTCTAGTTCTTTTAGTTGTAATATTAGGTTACGAATTTGAGATTTTTCTAATTTTTGGATGATATTTAGTGCTATAAATTTCCCTCTTATCACTGCCTTAGCTGTGTCCTAGAGATTCTGGTATGTTGTATTATTGTTCTGATTAATTTCAAAGAACTTCTTGATTTCTGCCTCAATTTCATTATTTACCCCAAAATCATTCAAGAGCATGTTGTTTAATTTATATGTAATTTTATGGTTTTGAGTGATTCTCTTAGTCTTAAATTTTACTTTTGCTGTGCTATGGTCTGTGACAATGGTGGGCGTGATTTTCATACTTTTCCATTTGCTGAGGATTGTTTTATGCTCAATGTGTGCCAGATTTTAGAGTATGTGTCATGTGCAGATGATAATAATGTATATTCCATTGTATTCGGTGGACAGTTCTGTAGTTGTCTATCAGATCCATTTGGTCCAGTGTTCAGTTCAGGTCCTGGGTATCTTTGTGAATTTTCTGCCTCAATGATTTGTTAGCACTGTTAGTGGAGTGTTGAAGACTCCCATTACTGTTGTGTGAGAGTCTAAGTCTGTTTGAAGGTCTCTTAAGAACTTGTTTTATGAATCTGGGTGCTTCTGTGTTAGGTGCATAGTTATTTAGGATAGTTTGGTCATCTTGTTGAATTGAATCCTTTACCATTATGTAATTCCCTTCTTTTCTTTTTTTGATATTTGTTAAAGTCTGTGCTGTCTAAAATTACGATTGCATCCCCTGCTTTTTTCTGTTTTCCATTTTCTTGGTAGATTTTTCTCCACTCCTTTATTTTGATACTATCAATGTCATTGCATATTTCCATGCTTATGGATAGGAAGAAACAATATAGTTAAAATGTCCATACTGCCTAAAGCAATTTACAGATTCAATGCTACTCCTATCAAACTAACAATGACATTCTTCACAAAACTAGAAAAAAACTATTTTAAAATTCAAATGGAAACTAAAAAGAGCCCAAACAGCCAACACAATTATAAGCAGAAAGAACAAAGCTAAAGGAATCATGCTACCCAACTTCAAACTACACTACAGGGCTACAGTAAACAAAACAGCATGGTACAGATACAAAAACAGACACATAGACAAATGGAACAGAATACGGAACCCAGAAATAAGGCTGCGTACCTAAAACTACCTGATCTTCAATAAAGCTGACAAAAATTAACAATGGGAAAAGGATCCCTATTCAATAAATGATACTATGATAACTGGCTAGCCATATGCAGAGGACTGAAACTGAACTCCTTCCTTAAACTATATTCAAAAATCAACTCAAGGTGGATTGAAGACTTACATGTAACACCAAAAAGTATAAAAACTCTGGAAGACAATCTAGGCAATACCATCTGGAGACAGGAAAGGACAAATATTTCATGACAAAGACACTAAAGTAATGGCAACAAAAGCAAAAACTGACAAATGGGATCAAATTAAACTAAGTAGCTTTTGCACAGCAAAATAAACTATCAACAGAGTAAACAGACAATCTACAGAATGGGAGAAAATGTATGTAAACTATGCATCTGACAAAGGTCTAACATCCAGCATCTGTAAGGAACTTAAACACATTTACAAGAAAAAAACAAGCAACCCCATTAGAAAGTGGGCAAATAACTCAAACACTTTTCAAAAGAAGACATACATGAGGCCAACAAGCATATGAAAAAAACGTTCAATATCACGGATCATTAGAGAAATGCAAATCAAAACCACAATGAGATGCCACATCACACCAGTAAGATATGACTATTATTGAAAAGTCAAAGAATAACAGATGCTGGCAAGGTTGAAGTGAAAAGCAAATCCTCATACACTGTTGATGGGAGAGAAAATTAATTCAATCATGGTGGAAAGCATTCCTTAAAGACCTAAAACCAGAACCACCATTCGACACAGAAATCCCATTAGTGGATATATGCCCAAAGGAATATAAATTGTTCTATCAGAAAACACATGTGCACATATGTTCACTGCAGTAATATTCACAATAGCAAAGACGTGAAATCAACCCAAATGCCCATCAATGAAAGACTGGATTAAACAATGTGGCACATATACCCCATGCAATGATATGCATCCATAAAAATCAGTGAGATCATGTCCTTTGCAGGAACACAGATGGAGCTGGAAGCCATTATATTTAGCAAACTAATGCAGGAACATAAAACCAAATACCTCATGTTCTCACTTATAAGTTGGAGTAAATGATGAGAACACATGGACATTAATAAGGGAATAACAAACATTGGAGCCTACCTGAGGGTGAAGGGTAGGAGGAGACACAATCAGAACAAAGTAACTATTACATACTAGGTTTAGCTCCTGGGTGACAAAATAATCTGTACATCCAATTCCTGTGACACAAGTTTACCTGTATAAGAAATGTGCACATGTACCCTTGAACCTAAAATAAAAGTTTAAATAAAAAGATCGGCCAGGCACAGTGGCTCATGCCTGTAATTCCAGCACTTTGGGAGGCCGAGGCAGACGGATCACCTGAGGTCAGGAGTTCGAGACCAGCCTGGCCAACATGGTGAAACCCTGTCTCTACTAAAAATACAAAAATTAGCGAGGTGGGATGGTGGACACCTGTAATCCCAGCTACTCAGTAGGCTGAGGCAGGAGACTCGCTTGAATCTGGAAGGCAGAGGCTGCATTGAATGTAGATCACACCACTGCACTCCAGCCTGGGTGACAGAGCGAGACTGCATCTCAAAAAAAAAAAAAAAAAAACCTCTATGGACAACATTTAATAGTATTAGGTATGTGACTTTCTGAACTTATAAGAAAACTTCCGATAAAATGTTAATCCATGCTATTTTTTCCTTTAAGATTAATCAGTGGTACCTTTATAATACTTGTAAAATATTTAATTTTCTCCCTATGTAACTAATTGTTAGTTTTGGTCTTTATAATTGCATCGACTAATAATTGTTTTTAATGTCCCTCTTTAACTCTGGTCATTCTTCCTGAGCAGACGTATCAAATTTCAAGAGAAAAAATATTTTTGCAGTATCAACATTTAAAATACATTAATTTTTACTCATTTAAATAGCCATATAACCTTTATAAAATTTTATTTTTTAACTTTGGTCATGTACTCATTGGCTGAAAAATTTCAAGCTGAGAGGAGCAAATAATCTGGAGGCAGATGACAGGTCTTTGAACTCTAGGGGTCTATAGCCCCATGATTCTGCCATTAGTTGTGACTTTTTTTGGACACTATGCCTTACAACTTCTGAATCATGGTCACCTAAGAACATCTTACGTTGGCAGAGAGTGCTCTTTTGCACTTCCCCTCCCTTATTCTAGTTCCAAATTCTTCTAATATTAAAAAAATTCAAAGTAACAATTTGACAAAGAGATTGTCCACATCCATGACCTCCCCTTTTATGAAGCAAAAGATGCTTTCTGCCCCATAGACGTGTTAGTTTGTGGTATTTCACATATATCATGGAGACACTATTGAATATATATTTGATAGGTTTTAGCACCTTCTCTTCTCAGTTTGGGCTAGAGTTAATAAAATTTCTATGTAGAAAATGAGCTGCTTTTAGTAAATGAAAAGCCATAAAAGCCTAGAAGTTATAAAAGAGAATCATTCTATAAAAAATAAAAGACATAACTAAAGGCTAAGCAATTCATCTTGGCTTACTTCGTGTTGAACCATCAGGCAGTACTCTGACTCTCTATTTTATTTTTCCAAAACTGAGTACTTTTGTGCCTGGAATTGGTGGGTTGTTGGTCTTGCTGACTTCAAGAATGAAGCCACAGACCCTCAAGGTGAGTGTTACAGTTCTTAAAGATAGTGTGTTAGAGTTTGTTCCTTCTGATGTTCAGACATGTCCAGAGTTTATTCCTTCTGATGGGTTCATGGTCTCACTGACTTCAGGAGTGAACCTGCAGTCCTTTGCAGTGAGTGTTACAGATCTCAAAGATGGCGTGTCCGGAATTTTTCATTCCTCCCAGTGGGTTCGTGGTCTCACTGGCTTCAGGAGTGAAGCTGCAGACCTTCACAGTGAGTGTTACATCATATAGGTGGTACGGACCCAAAGAGTGACCAGCAGCAAGATTTATTGCAAAGCGTGAAAGACCAAAGCCTCTACACTGTGGAAGGGAACCTGAGCGAGTTGCCCTGCTGGCTCTGGTGGCCTGCTTTTATTCCTTTACCTGGCCCCACCCACATCCTGCTGATTGGTTCATTTTACGGAGAGTTGATTGGTCCATTTTACGGAAAGCTGATTGTCCGTTTTGACAGAGTGCTGATTGGTCTGTTTTGACAGAGTGCTGATTGGTGCATTTAAAAACCTTTAGCTAGACACAGAGTGCTGTTTGGTGCGTTTAAAATCCTTTAGCTAGATGGAAAAGTTCTCCAAGTCCCCACCCTTCCCAGAAGCCCAGCTGGCTTCACCTCTCACTTTTACATTCAAATTCTTTCTCTTCATTCAGTATCATTTGATTATATACACATTCCTTAGCTCCTACATTTATCTTTGGAAAAAACTTTGCACTGTCTATTGAAAAAAAAAAAGCAATTAAAAGGTCTATTAAAAATTCCCCACTGTTGATTCTGTGATGATCTCAAACCAAGGAATATAACAGAAATGAGTAAAAATCTGACATCAACTGTTGATGCAATATATTCTCAACATCAACTCTTTATTTCTTCACATTTATTTTTGGTGGAGAAAGTAACCTTGGCTTGAGTATTCTTAGAGCTGACATTTTTATTTCCTCTTTCTCAACTCTATCCATAGCATCCACTTCACTCCACTTCACATCAAATTTAACTTCCATCTATATTTCAGAGAAAAGTAGACAGGCTGTCATGGGATACTAAATTAAGCAGAAAATTAGGATACATTTCATCTAGAAAAAAAGTATGAATATTGAGACCTCTCACTGGGAACTCACCAGACTTAGTGACAACTCTGTGCCCTTCCATATACCTAAGTGGAGAACGGTCCTATGGAGAAGAAACAGAGATTAATTATATTGGAGGAAGTGGAACACCAAGATTGGCATGAGGGTTCTGAACATTCAAAGCAATTCCATGCTTGTAACATATGCAAGGCATGAGTTGACTTCCAAAGGCCCATATTATGTCAGGATGACACTTACTAAATGTACAAGTAATTGAAGTGTAATCAGGAGAGTATGACTAAAAAGAAGGCCTTCCTGATTATAGACTTGGACCATGATAATGGCAGACTCTAAATAAGCTGTAATGTCACTCCTTCTTGATACCTCTCTGTGGTCAGAGATGTGAATGTTCGCAAGAATAACAAACCTGCACGTTCTGCACATGTATCCCAGAAATTAAAGTATTTTTTTTAAAAAGAAAGAAAATGTGGTACTTATATAAAATGGAGTACCATTCATCCCTAAAAAGGAATGGGATTCTTTCATTTGCAACAACGTGGTTGGAACTGGAGGTCATTCTATTAAGTGAAATAAACCAGGCACAGAAAGAAAAGATTGCATGCTCTCACTTATGTGTGGGATTTAAAAATCAAAACAATTGAACACATGGAGAAAGAGAGTAGAAGGATGGTTACTAGACGCTGGGAAGAGTAGTGGGGGGTTGAGGGGAGGTGGGGATGTTTAATAGGTTAAAAAAATAGTTAGAATGAATAATACCTAGTACTTGAGAGCATAACAGGGTGACTCTAGTAAAAATAATTTAATTGCCCAATTTAAAATAACGAAAATATTTTAACTGAATGTTTTGTAACGCTGAGGATAAATGCATGAGGAGATTGATACCCCATTTTCTATGTTGCAATTATTATGCATGGGGTGCCTATACGAAAATATGTCATGCATCTCAAAAATATACATAACTACTATGTACCCACGAAAATAAAAAATAAAAAATTTAAAAACAAACAAAAAAGAATAACGTGGAGCAGGAGACAATGATTCTGGCAGCAGAGGACAAAATATAGCTTATGAAAACCAAACGTCAAAGCCTTGAGAAGATGATGCTGATCGAGAATCCACATCAGAATAAGATGAGCTGCAGTCTACGTGGGAGTGGTGCTCAGAGAAGTCTGACACAAACAAATGACTCCTCTGGGTGCTGTAACTAATAATGAGAAAGAAACACCTTGAAAATTGGGAAGATATGGGAATTGTGATGGTTTATGCAACAGTACTGAACTGAGTGAGGATTATTAAACTTTGCTTGTTCCCTTGTCCATTTATAAGGATTTATTTGTATTCATGTGTCTGACGTATTTCCGAATTTAGTGATATGCAACAGAGGGATTACTTTTTGAAGGGAGGAGGGTGGGTGGAGGCCTGGATCTGAAAAAAATATATATATTTAATATTATATAGTATATATATTTATATGTGTATATATCATGCAGTAATACATATTATATGTATATATAAATATATATATTTTATGTCTGTGTATATATATATATATATATATATATATATATATATATCATGCAGTAGTACATTGAATTATCTTCATTTTATTTTCTCTTTTCACTGATTACTCAGAAAACCAGCTTTTGCAATACCTTAACTCAGGTAAAATTTTTGGAGTGGTACAATGACACAAGAGGAGGTTTGTAATTCTTTTTGTATTTTGTAAAAACAAAAATCATATAAAGAGAAGATTCTTAACTTGGTGCCTACAGATGAGAATTTAGGGGTTCTGTGAACATCATTTTGTAAATCTTAATTTTTTCCCACTTATCCCTGACTACTATTTAGCATTTATATCCATTGTGAATGTAGAAACAAATCTAAACAGTACTAGCAGTATTTGGGACTTTATTACCAATTTAAATTACATTGACCTGAAAATAATCTTGATGATTGTTACTACTTCAGAATCATCAGATTTACTAGCTCTATCTCTATATCAATCATATTCATTAATGTGTTTGTGGAAGTGCTCAGATTATATCGTACACAAGTATGTTTATAATATTTTGATAATGCATTTCAATATAATTGGCCTTTTTGTTTCTGAGAATGTATTTATAGCATTCTGAGATGGTATCCATTTGTGTATATATATGATATTATATATAATGATATATATATCATATCATTAGAAATATATATATATCATTGATATATCTATATATCTATAGATCTATATCTATATATAGATATATATAAACATATTTGTGTATCATACACAAATATGTTCATAATATTTTGATAATGCATTTCAATATAATTGGCCTTTTTGTTTCTGAGAATGTATTTATAGCATTCTGAGATGGTATCCATTTGTGTATATATAATATCATATATATACACAAATATATATATAATGATATATATATATCATTAGAATGCCAAAGGAGTCTATAGCAGGCACACAAAAGGCCAAAAACCCTGACTTGAAGGATATTCTGAAGTGTTAATGTTCTTTAGAGAACACTTGGACAGGGAATACGGAAGACAATGAGTTCTGTAAGCACTAGAAGCCTAGGCAGTGTCTTGGGAGATTCCAAGTTCTCAAAGGGTAATGGCTTAATTTCACACACAGGTAAAATGTATTCTAGGTACTAAATGTCCCAGATTCACTACAGAGTATTATGTCCCACGAATGACCCCAAATTAACACAGGGCCACTGCATCTCAAAGAACGTATGAGGCAAAAGAATGGCAATGTGAGGTAACACTAGAGTGGGACAATGAGACATGACCACTGCATTTCCCCAGCAGCTTCACAACTTCATTAAGGACAAAACCTTGCCGTAGCCCTGGTATCACAATATCTAAAAAATCTGAGTTTAAAGTAGCAATTATTTTGGTGCATTGGAAGCACAAATAAGACATATGTTTATTTAAACAAAAATCGTACAAAATTTGTTATCATGCTATATTTGGAAACTGAGGAACAGAATTATTACATTTAATATCTCTAAAGAGGAATCTGGACATTCTGTGCCATAAGCATATCACTATCTCACTCTGTCTATAAATTTTATCACTCATTAAAAGTTTATTAATTCAACAAAATATAAGACTTTGTTTATAACACGGAAGTTTTAAGTCTTGCTCAGTTTTTGTGTGTGTGTGTGTGTGTGAACATGCACTTATATTATGTGAACAATTCATTCCTAATATTAGAAGATACATGTTGGTCAAAATTTAAGCTCTATCTATTGGCCTTGTGGACGATTAAGAAATTCTCTGGCTCTTTCATTTTCTTTACCCTGCAGGAAATACATGTTTTCTTTTCCCATCTGTGGTCATTCTCTACTGTGCAATAAATAAAAATCAAGAGGCTCATTGGTTCACCTCCCTCAGGTTCTTTGAATTGCTTTCCTAAAGCTATTATTACACTAAAGCACATAAATACTAGTATATCTACTCAGAATTTGCTCTGAGCTCTTGCAGTGAACAGATACTGAGTAAGGCCTTAATATTTCAACCATCTGTTTTCCTTCCACAGTAAAAGTTAATAAGAAATGTAATCTGATTTTTAGCTTATTTTCTTTTCTGGCTTAAACATTTTTTATTTCTCAAAAATTGTGGGTACTGAAAATTTTTCCAATGTAAGTGAAAACTGCTAAGTATCAACACAATTAGCAAGAAAGAGTATGGGAAGTTTTGCTAACTGTGAACTCTGCCAAGTACAATATTCATTATTGCTCATTGTTAGATACATTACCAGTGCATATTTTAATCAAGTATGACCAATCTCTTTTTTTCTTAGAAAGTATATTTTTAAAAACTGATTTTATTCTTGGGGCAAATTTTCCTCATTAGTGGAGGGTTACCTACCACGAGCACTTTGCATGAGACCATTGTCCTCACTATCTTACTTTTTTCCTATGATCAGTTTGCTTTACGTTTTATCCTGAGAGTGAAATATTTGACTGATTGCATAATTAGACAACAGAACCTGTAATAACATTTGATTAACATTTTTGAATATGCTACCATGTTTTGCATGTGATTACCAGATTCATCTGCCAAATATAAAGATCTACCTGAGACCTAGTCGTTAAGGAAATTTAGTGTATTTCACATCTTCTTAGCTTAGAGACTCTAGGTAACAGTAGTTGTGATACAAAGGGAAAAGTATTTTTGTTGTCTCATCTCATGAATCTGCTATTCCAAGAACACAGATTTTATTGTTATTTAAATTTATGTACTACTAAAGAGAGAGAGAAAAAAGGGTTGCTGGCTGGTAAATTTTGATGTGGTTCTAATAGAAGTAAAATGTAGCATATAAATTTATTTAAGATATATAAATAGACAAGCTCTGCTTCTTTTGGGAAACAACTGAAAATTCAAAGGAAATTAAATAGAAAGAATATTTAAATCTCACATCTCCTGGCATATACAGTAAAGCTTATAAAATTTTCTTTTATTAGAAAGTCTAGAGTTAAATCAATAAGTGCTCTTTTAATTTGTCAAGAGTCTTTCTCATTGACCTCAGTTATCTGCTTCATATCACCTTTTTCTTTATAAGAATATTGGCCGGGCGCAGTGGCTCACGCCTGTAATCCCAGCACTTTGGGAGGCCGAGGCAGAAAGATCATGAGGTCAGGAGTTCAAGGCCAGCCTGGCCAAGATGGTGAAACCTCGTCTCTACTAAAAACACAAAAATTAGCCAGGCGTGGTGGTGGGAATCTATAATCCCGGCTACTCGGGAGGCTGAGGCAGAGAATTGCTTGAACCCAGCAGGCGGAGGTTGCAGTGAGTCGAGATCGCGCCACTGCACTCCAGACTGGGCGACAGAGTGAGACTTGTGAAAGAATATCTACAAATTTGACACATGAATTATTTATCTGTTTTTTCTTCTAAAATGTTCTTTGGCTTAATATGTTTCTGTTTTGTTTCTTTTTTTTTTTAATTTCCAAAGGCAGAACTCATGGGGTTTTATACATATAGACAATAGATTTAGCATATGATTTGGAAAAAGATTTATTAATTACATAGACTTATTAATTGTAAAGGTGTCACAAATATAATGAAAATTTAATCCTGATTTCATCTGAACCATGTGGACATTATTTACTATACACTGTGCTAAATGAACTAAAAAATATGGTCTATTGTCCTTTCACTCTAATCCATGAGAATATGACTTACTATGCACTTGTGTTAAATGAACCAAAAATGGATCTCTAGTCAAAATTGAACAGATTTCTGTCTATTCACTTCTTCTCTTTAATTGAGATTAAAAGTGAAACACAAACGTTAGGCCAAAGAAAGGACATCAGAGAAGCAATGCATAGAATTAAAAACTAGTGAAGTTAAAATGGCTCCAGCCATATTCTTCTCAATGAAAACTCAATTTTTTTCATAATGTCTCAGAGCATTGTCCACTTCATGAAGACTTTACCTCTAGAAAATCACAATCACCCCACAAAAAAGGCAAACACCAAATAAGAAAACAATAATCTCTACAGGCACTGTGTAGTCTGTCCTGCATGTTTTTAAGGACATACTTGATATCAGGAACACGGTCCTAGCCCTCTTGCTGCCTAAGTGGAGGGAGTGATCAGAGCAGATTTAGTAACAGAGGGACAGAGGTTCCACAATGGTGGTACACAGAAAGTATCAAGTAATAGGGTAGAATGGCAGATGGAGAGAGAGTGACAGGGATACCTGGGGGCTCTCTGAGTTTTCCAGAGAGAATGTAATTTTATGATATGCTTTGGCACATATATAAGAGATATTGAACACTGGCCTATGATGACATTTAAATATCTTTTCCAACATATAAATATTATTTAGTAATTGGTAATGCATATTAATGAAATTTAAGAAAGATGTCTTAAAGCCACGAGAGTCAGGACCAAATTGTGGTTCACCAGTTAATTATTTTAGTAGTAGGTTATGTAACCATGTTGTACTGGAGACTGTATTTTTACTTACTTAAAACTACTTTTTCAGCTGAAATTTGTTGATAAAGTACAGTTACTTTTCAATTCTAAAGGACAAGAACAATAGACAACCACTCATTTCATTCACAAGAGCCAGACACAATCCACTGAGGACACATTCTAAGGATGATTTGGTTTAGTGGTTTCCTAGATAATTTGAAGGAACTCTGCCTAGTCTAGATAATTAATATATCCACAATGTAGACATAAATTGCAGGTATTTATCAAACACTTAGGGCCATATGTGATTAAACTCACAAGCTTTGAGGGTACCGCAGTCCAAGTTTACATTTCTTATGGGAAGAGTTAAGGATAGTGGGAGAAAAGGAATGCTGTACTTCAATGTTTGTCAGACAAACACGCAAACATCAAAAAAACTGTAATACACATTGATAAAACAACTTGCTTTAGATGTACAACAACAACCCAAATATTAACATGCATATTTCTAACTATAGCAAAACATTTCTATTTAAATTTCCATTTTACATAGGTTAAGCATGGATAAAGAAAGTTAATTGATTCAGAAAAGCTTGTCTGATATCATAAATGAAAGGATTGGTAATAAAATTATCTGAGCATAGTGCAATACCTTTAGTACTGAATGAGATATATCGTTCAAATTACATTTCGAAGTTACCATAAATAATGATGCTTTGGGAAATTGAGGAAATTCTTACATGCTTTTCATATTAGATATTTTATATCTAGATTCTCCATCTACTGTCCTTCTGGAAACCAATTACTAATATGTTTGAGAGACTTAGCTTCAAGAAGGCTGACTGCAGGTGCCCAGCACTGACGTTCTCCACAAAGAATTTCCAAAACTTCTTTGGAATTTATCTAAGCAAGAAGATAATCACACAAGAAATAGGGTGTCTAAGAAACACTGCAATTCAGCAGGGAAGTGACAGGGACCTTCTGAGGTATGGAAGGAGAGGGAAGTAAAGCAGTGGCCTAATGGAGACTGGCTCAGAGCCAGGAGAAATTCCCCAGTGCAAGGAGAAGGTAAGGAAGAGATCCTTTTGCTTTTTCACTAATCCTCAGAGGTACACATTTCCACTAGAGACTCTTGCAATCCCAGCCATGGAAGAGCCCCTCACCTCTCATGAATCCTGAAACTAGGATAAAAATCTGCCTGGAATTCATGCAATGGCATTGTTTCAGAGGTAGATCAAGCTGGGTCCCACACCTCTACCGAGACCCAAGCAGCTGCAGCACTGTGCCCTTTTGAGGGCCTATTCCCTAACAGACTATATTCTGCCCTGGACCCCAGTAGCCCCAGCCTCCTCATGTCCCTGGAGCCCCACTGACACCTCCCTACATCCTTCCAGCAGGCCACAGCATTGCAACACTGGCTGGATTCAGCAAAGCAGCTGGATCCCCATAGCTTTAGCCTAGGGATCAAATGAGCCTAGGGACACTGCCCCTGGGATTAAATGAGCCAAAATATGCCCTCTCCAGAGCCTGACTTGGACTGTTGCCACCGCTAACAACCACTATTTTCTCCCTCCCACCCAGCAGCAGGGACCCCATAAACAACACGTGCCTTCAAGGGTCCTCAATACCCACCCATTCAGGCACCTTTCTGTGTCCTGAAACAGGCCCTCCCTGCCTGCCATTGCTGGTGGCCATGTATGCCATATGGGGAGCCAGAAGATTGACCCACTCCACCTCCCGCCATCACTGCTGCTGCCAGGAGTGCACCTTGTGGAGGCTTGGGGATTGATCCACTCTGCTGACCATGGCAGGTGCTCATTTGCATCACCAGGGGGCTTGAGGATAGGCTTGCCCACCTTCTGCCACCACCATCCAGGAGACAAGGGATTAACCTGCCATGCCCCCTGCCAATGGCATTAGCATGCACCTGCAGTGGAGCCTGAAAATAGGTTCAACAATCCCTGTTGCTACTGGATTCCATGTGTATTATCTGGAACTCTGAGGATAGGTTCACCCTGCCCACCCTCAGAACTGCCAATGCCCTAGTGTGCCATCCAGGGGCCTGGTGATCAATCTGCCCTATGAACTGCAGCTGGTGCCCATGCACACCATGAGAGAGTAGGGGCAGAGAACAGCCTGCTCACTCTGTAGCCTTTGCCAGTGGTGCTTATATCCATTGTCTGAGGGCTTAGGTATCAACTTGCCCTGTCCAGCACAGGAGATGCCTGTGAATGCCATCTGGGAGCCTGAGGACAAAACCATGCTGCCACCGGACACTCCTGCCAGTACCCAAGTGCCCCACCTGAGGGCCAGGAAATTGATCTGTCTGCACACGCCATCAGGCAAATGGAGAACAGGTCTGACTTGCCAATGCTGGCCCTGTCACTGCCGGCCCTGCCACTGCCCTAGCACATCATCCAGGGGAATGGGTATCAACCCATCCCATCTGCTGCCCCTACCCCCTGTGCACACCACTGGGGGATATGAGGGCAGGCCCTGCCCACAGCTGCTGGCAGCTGTGCACCTAGCCTGTGGTACTGGGGACTGATCTGCCCCATCCACAACTGCAGCACCTGCACAGGCTTTTTGGGGAATAACCTCCATTAACAACCACTGCCTAAGCCACTGAGGGATTCACAGATTATAATATAATATAATATAATTAATATAATATAATATAATATAATATAATAAGAAATTATTCAAAGACTATACTACTGCACCAACCCAGAATCAAAGCCAAAACACTACCCAACCAACACTATAAATACATCTATAGGAAAACGTTGACGATGAGCCAATCCATAAAAATGGAAGAAGTGACTGTTACACCAGATGCACAGATATCAACATAAGGACACACGGAACATAAAAAAGCAAGAAAATGACATCTTTAGAGAAACACAATTATTCTCCAGTAACAGATTTTAAATAAAATGAAATCTATAAAAATAATTTAAAATAATAATTCAAAATAATATTAAATTGGTTTAGTAAGATACAAGAAAAAACATGCAAACAATACAAAGAAGTCAGGGAAACAATTTATAATCTCAGATTGATATCATTAAAGGAATAGAAATTCTGGAACTGAAACTCATTGAATGAAACAAAAATATAATGGAGAGCTTCAAAAATATATCAAAGCAGAAAAAAAAGGAATTTCTGAACTTTAAAACAGATGTTTTTAAATAACACAGAGAGAAAAAAAGGAAAGAATAAAAAAAGATGGTGTTCCTGATGTATGGGGAATGACAAAGTGAACAAATATTTAAATTATGGAAATTCCAAAAGAATGAAAAATAGCAAAGGCATAGAAACCCTCTTTAACAAAATAATGGCTAAAAAATGCTAAGTCTTGAAAGAGATATAGACATCCAGATACAGAAAGCTCAAAGATTCCCAAATATATTCAACTCCAAAACTTATTTGTCAAGGAAGTTATAGTCAAACTGTAAAAAGTCAAAAACAAAGAAATAATTCTAAAAACAGTAAGTGAAAAGCATCAAGTCACATATAAAGGAATCTCCATCTGGCTAAAAGCAGATTTCTCAGCAGAAACTGTACAAGTCATGAGAGAATGGAAAGATATATTCAAAGTGCTGAAAGACAAAAATTATCTGGCAAGAATACTACACCCAGAAAGCTATTCTTCAAAAATTAAGGAAAAATGAAATCTTTCCTGAAAACTGAGGGAATTCACCGCCAGTTGACTGCCCTGACAAAGCTGGAAGTAAGAGAATGACACTTACCATTGTGAAAATACAAGAAAGTAAAGCTCACTGGAAAAACAAACACAACATGGACAAGGAGAAGAGTCAAATGATATCACTACAGAGAATGATCAATCCACAGTGATAAACAATAGGAAAGAAAGGAAGAAACAAAAGATATATAAAACAATCAATCCACAGTGATAAACAATAGGAAAGGAAGAAACAAAAGATATATAAAACAAATGACAGATGAAGACAGAATAAGTTCTTATCTATCAACAATAGCTTTGAATGTAAATGGATGAAATTCACCACTTAAAAGAAGCAGGCTAGCTGAATGGTTAAAAAATTATATGCTACCTACAAGAAACTCACTTTATTTGTAAAGAAACGTAGATTGAAAATGAAGGGATGGAAAAATTATTACACAAAAACGAAAAACAAAAGTGAGTGTGAGTAGCTATACATATCAGATAAAACAAACTTTAAGTCAAAAACCCTAAAAAGAGACAAATAAAGCCATTATATAATAGTAAAAGGATCAATCCAGCAAGAATATATAACAATTCTAAATATACATGCACCCAACACTGGAGGACTCAGATATATAAAGTAGATAGTATTACATCTAAAAAGAGAGGGAGAGATAGACTGATACAATAATAGTTGGGGAATTCAACAACCGACTCTCAGCATTGGTTACATCGTTTACAGAGAAAATCAACAAACACTAGTTTTAAACTACCCTATAGATCAATAGACCAAACAGATATTTAAAGAATACTTTTCTTTAGCTGCAGAATATATGTACATCAGCCTATGGAACATTCATCAGAATAAACCATACATTAATCCACAAAACAAGTCTTAGCACACTTTTTCAAATCAAAATAATATAAAGTAAGGCCACAATGGAATAAAATTAGAACTCAGTAACAAGAGTAATTTTGTAAATGGTACAAATACAAGGAAATTAAACCACAGATCCTGAACAACAATTGGGACAATAAAGAAATTAAGAAAAAAATAAAATTTTCTTGAAGCAAACGAAAATGGAAATACAATTTATCTAAATGTATGGGATATAGTAAAAGCAGTGCTAACAGAAAGTTTATGACAATAAATGCCTACATCAAAAAAGGAGAAAAATTTCAAACAAAAAACCTAATGATACACTTGAAAGTGCTAGAAAAGCAAGAACAAATCAAACTGAAAATCAGCAGAAGAAAATAAAAAAGATTAAAGTAGAAGGGAACAAATAGACACTAAAAAAATACACAGGATCAGCAGGACAAAAAAGGAGGATTTTTTTTTAATTGATAAACTAGTAGCTAGACAACCAAGAACAAAAAAAGAGGACCCAAATAAACAAAATCAGAAACAAAAAAGAATACATTTAAAAATGATACCACAGAAATACAAAGGATTATTAGAATGATTATGAACAACTATATGCTAACAAATTGGAAAAGCTAGAGCAAACAAATTCCTGAACACATACTATTTACTAGGATTGAACTTGAAAGACACAGAAAACCTGAACAGACACATAATAAATAATGAATTTGACTCAGTGATAAAAAGTTTTCCAACAAAGAAAAGGCCAGGACCAATGGCTGAATTGCTAAATTCTACCAAACCCTTAACATAGAACTAACGTTAATGCTTCTCAAACTATTACAAAAAATTGAAAAGGAGGAATTTTTCCCCTAATTAACTCAATGAGGCCACTGTTACCCTAATACTACAGCCAGAGAAGGACACAACAAAAAACAAAAATGGTTTTATTACTGGGGCCAATATCCCTAATAATGTAGATGCAAAAATCCCCACAAAATACTAGCATAATGAATCCATCCAACAATACCATTCAAAAGAGAATACATTTCTATCAAATGGGATTTATTCCAGGGAGGAAAGGGTGTATCAACATATGCAAATTGATAAATGTGATATATCACATCAACAGGATAATAGACAAAAATCATATGACCATCTCAATAGACATAGAAGGAGCAATTGATAAAATTCAGGGTCCTTTCATGATAAAATTTTAAATAAATTAGATGTAGAAAAAAATTCACTTCAAAATAATAAAGGTCATCTATGGCAAACCCATAGCTAACATCATACTGAACAGGAAAGAGCTGAAAGCCTTTCCTGTTAGAACTGGGACACCAAAAGTAAGCTCATTTTCACCATTCTTATTCAACACAGTACTGGAAGTCCTAGCCAGAGCAATCAGGCAAGAAATAAAAGGCATCCAGATTAGAAATAAGGAAATTAAATTGTCAATTTTTGCAGATGACATGATTTTTTAAATAGAAAACGTGAAGATTTCACCAAATAACAGGATTGATAATGAAATTCAGTAAGGTTGCAGGATACAACATCAACATATAAAAATATGTAGCCTTTCTATACACCAATAATAAACTAGCTAAAAAGAAATCAAAAAGCAAATTCCACTTATAATAGCTATGAAAAAAAATAACTAGAATAACTAGAAAGAAATAACCAAGATAGTCAAAGCCTTTTACAAGGAATACTACAAAACACTGATGAAAAAAATTGAGGAGAAAACACCCAAATGTATACAATCAATGCTCATGGATCACAAGAATGAATATTGTTAAAATGACCATACTGTCTATAGCAATCTACAGAATCAATGCAATCCCTATAAAATATCAATGACATTCTTCACAGAAATAGAAAAGAAATTCTAAAATTTTATGAAACTGCAAAAGATCTCAAACTGCTTTTATGCTTGGTGGAAAGAACACTCTCTTCAACACATGATGCTGAAAAAACTGGATATCCATATGCAGAAGAATGAAATCAAACCCTTATCCCTCACCATACACAACACTCAATTCAAAATGGATTAAAGACTCTAACAGAAGACCCCAAACTATTATACTACCAGAATGAAAAAGGAAAAATATTTCAGGACATTGGTATAGGCATAGAATGTGTGATTCAGACTTCAAAGGCACATGAGATAAAAATAAAAGTAGAAAAATAAGACTATTTTAAACTAAATACCTTTTGCCTAGCAAAAGAAACAACAAAATGAAGAGTCAACCTACAGAATGGGAAAATATACTTGCAAAATATTCATCTGACAAAGGACTAATACCCAAGTTATTCAAAGGGCTCAAACAACTCGACCACAATAATCCAAATAATCCTATTAAAAAGTAAGCAAATGATCGAAATAGCTTTTTTGTTTGTTTGTTTGTTTGTTTGTTTTGTTTTGTTTTGTTTTAGATGGAGTCTTGCCCCGTCGCCAGGCTGGAGTGCAGTGATGCGATCTTGGCTCACTGCAACCTCCACCTCCCAAGCACAAGTGATTCTCCTGCCTCAGCCTCCTAAGTAGCTGGGACTACAGGCACATACCACCACACCCGGCTAATTTTTTTGTATTTTAGTAGAGACAGGGTTTCACCAAGTTGGCCAGGATGGTCTCAATCTCCTGACCTTGTGATCCGCCCTCCTTGGCCTCCCACAGTGCTGGGTCTGAATACACATTTCTTAAAGGAAGAAATAAAAATCACCAAAAGGTATATGAAAAAATGTTCAACATCACTAATCACCAAGGTAATGTAAATCAAAAATACAATGAGTTATCATCTCATCCCAGTTAAAATGGCTATTATTAAAACGTCAAAAAATAACAAATGCTGGTAAGGATGTAGAGAAAAGGAAACTTACACATTATTGAAATATTAATCAGTACTGCCATTATGGTGAACAGAATGGCAGTTTCTTACAAAACTAAAAAGAGTACTACTATGTGATTCAGCAAGCCCACTGCTGGGTACTCATCCAAAGGAAAGGAAATGGGTATATGAAATGAATATTTTTACCTGCATGTTCATTGCAGCACTATTTACAATAGCCAAGATATGAAATCAGCCTGTCTGTCAATAAATAAATGAATAAAGAAATGTAGTATATATATGCAATGGGATACTATTTAGTCATACATAAAGGATAAATTCCTGTCATTTGCAGCAACGTACATGGAATTAGAGGCCATTTCATTAAGTGACATAAGCCAGACACACGTAGCTGAGTATTTCATGTTCTCACTTATATGTAGAAGCTAAAAAACAATTTCATAGAGGTAGAGAGTAGAATAATAGTTACAAGAGGCTAGGTTGGGTGCAAGGGGTGAAGTGAACTTGGTTAATAAATAAAAACACAGTTAGATGGAAGGAATAGTTTATATTGCTTGTTAGTACAGTAGGGTGATTATAGTTAACGACAACTTATTTATATGTCAAAATATTCAAAAAAGAAAGTTTCAAATGTTCCCAACACAAAGAAATAATAAATATTCAAGATGATGTATCCTAAATGCTCTGATTTGATAACATATTGTATGCATGTATCAATATACCACATGTACCCCGTTGATGTGTAGCAAGTATTGCATATCAATAGAAATGTTTACAGAAAAGGTTGGAGATACTCAATCTATGATGTGTTTGATTAACTTTCAAATGTTGTATCTCATTTCTCTTTGCCAAGCTTGGGAAACTTTACAAAGTCTTTCTCTCCAGTTAGATATTCTTTCTTCATCTCCACCCAGTCTATGGTTTTATGCAAACTATTCGTTTTACCAAAAAAAGTCTATATTTTTGTTCTTGAATTTTTTTCTTTATATTTCATATATTTATTTCATGACCTCTTAAATATATTTTTCCCCTTGTCCCTTTGGGAGATTTTAAGTCTATTGATGTATATCCTATACTTCCTCTAATGGGGTTTTCTTTGTTGAGTCTTTTAGTTCAATGGTCCCCAAACTTTTTGACACTGGGACCACTTTCGTGGAAGACATTTTTTCTAGGGACCAAGGGGATGGGCAGGAAATGGTTTTGTGATGATTGAAGCACATTACATTTATTCTGCACTTTATTTCCATTATTATTACATTGTAATAATATTACATTGAAATAATTATATGAGTCGCCATATTGTAGAATGACTGGGAGCTCTGAGATTGTTTTCTTGCAACTAGACAGTCCCATCTGGGAGGGATGGGAGACAGAGATGCCCGAAGTGTCTTGCTTATGTCCAGTCTACTCTGTAATCTTGTTTTGGTTGCTGTCACTGGAAAACCCTGCTTCACAAAGATATGATGTTGGAAATGGAAGAAGGAAATGTTGGAAATGGAAGCACTTTTCAGTGCTTTTGTGGAAATCTCAGAATATTTCGTTTTGACTTTAATCCAGAAAAATGGAGATTTGAAGTTTTCTCAAACAGGCTTTTAAGGACACCATCATTCGCAATCTCAAGCAGTTGATCCCCTTCTAGCATGAACAAAGTCGACTTACCTGGCTTATTCACAAATGGGTCACGATCCCTTTCTTCCCAGTTCAGGAGTCTTCTGTGGTTAAGCAGTAATGCTCAAACTCTTTTAAAGCTGAGAGAGATTATCATGCAGCAGCTGGAAAAAAGAAGGCACAGGCTCCGTCTCTTTCAAAATCTCTGCTGAGGTTTGAAACTCATAAAAAATCCTAATGTTCACCTGTCTCCCCATAATTTTAGTTTGGCTTTGCCACTTTGTCTGCTGACTTGAACACAGTTACCATTCTCCCCTGAAGTGACAGATTGAGTTTGTTGAGCAGGTTGAATATGTCACACAAGTAAGCAAGTTTTGCGACCCATTCTGTGTCAATGAAATGTGTTGCCAGTGGTGACTGCTTTTCTGAAATAAAAGAAATCTGGAGTGGCTCCCAGAACTCAAAAACTCTGACCAGTAGTCTGCCTTTAGAAAGCCATCTCACTTCTGAGTATAAGAGAAAACATGTGTACTCTGTGTCCATCTCCTCACAGAGCTACATGAATACACACGAGTTAAGGGCATGTACTTTAATATGGCTGATAATTTTAATCAGATTCTGCAAACTGTTGTTAAGTTCACGTGACATTTTTTGGCTAGCCAGCCTGTCTATAGGGATAACACAGGGTGTAGACTCACATTCAGAAGTGCCCTTTTTGACCGGAGTAGTGAAACCAGAAAGCCGTCCAGCCATGGCAGCCACTCCTTCCATGAATATACCAACAGAGAATAACCAGTTCAATTTTCCTGATATGTAATAATTCAAAAACTTGAGTAGTTCTGCAGCTGTGGTGTTTGTTGGCCACAAAAATGCACATAACATAATATCATGTACATCCTCCCGAAAACAAGCATTGTTGCCTTGTGAACGTCTATAGATTTGTCAACCTGAGTTGTATACCACGGTTACTCATTAATCCTCTCTAACAATTGTGCCTCAATATCCTCCACCATTTCATCAATTCATCCAGTTATGGTGCTAGCCAAAAGAGGAAAACATACCACCTTTTGAACTGCAGCCTCTCCTAAAATTTCAGGACAAATGTCCTTAGCAGCAGGCAGGATCAACTCTGCACCAATAGTAAAGAGCTTCTTAGCTTCAGCAATGCAGTTAGCCACTAGAGAATGATGCTGTCAGTGAAGACACATTTGGTGAAGTGGTGGTCTTCAATAACTGTTTCTGTTCTTTGTATTCGCATATTTTTTTTCTTTTGAAAAACTTCAAAGGCTTGTCTTTTAATGCAAGGTGCATGGTCTCCTTGTGGTGAAGCAGTTTTGAACATTTCATGACTTCCTTGGATAGCCAGTCACCACATATTATACAAAACGGGCTGAGAGAATGTGAATCAACAGTTATGGTGAACCCATAATTTAAGTAGGACTCTTGGTATTTTCTTTTAAATGCATCTTTCTTTTTCTTGGCAGCCTTAGGGTTTTCTGCTGTCTTATCATTGGTCTTTCCCCCTTTTCAAATAAGCTCTCCAGTAATGATTGTTTTCCATTTATTTTGGCTAGGATTAGTTTGTGGACTTACCAAAACTGTGACTGAGACAAGTGTGTAGTGTGAAAAAGGGGTGCCCATGGAAGCAGTGAAGAAAATAATGAGCAGGTCGTGTGTGGACTAAAATAACTGTCAGCTTCTGACTTAAAGCCTGCCAACCAGATGCAGCTGCATAATTGAAGTATATCAACTCACTTGCCACTCTAAAACCTGTCACTAGATGCAGCTTGTCACCTGCCACTCGCTGATAGAGTTTTGATATGAGTCTGCAAGCAATTGATTTATTATGGTCTCGGTGCAGCCAGGCCTCTCTGCAAATGTTAATCTGTATTTGCAGCTGCTCCCCAGTGCTAGATTCACTGTCTCAGCTCCACCTGAGATCATCAGGCATTAGATTCTCATAAGCAAAGCACAACCTAGATACCTCAGAGGTGCAGTTCACAATAGAATTCGCGCTCTTATGAGAATCTAATGTCATTACCGATGACCTGACAGGAGTTGGAGCTCAGGAAGCAAAGCCAGTAATGGGAAGTGGCTGTAAATACAGATGAAGCTTTCCTACTCAACTATCGCTCACCTACTGCTGTGCATCCAGGTTCCTAACATGCCAAGGACCAGCACAGGTCCACGGCCCTGGGGTTTAGGACCCCTATTTTAGCTGATTCTCAGAGCTCTGGAATATATTTTGAGCTTTCCAATATTTATTAGAAGCACCATCCATGGAAGTTTTTCCAAGAATATCTGTGGAAATGATTTAATGTTGTATTTGCCACGATTCCTTAGAGGGTACAAGTAAAAAATATATCTTACTTTGGTAGCTTATTTCATGATTTACATAAGGAAGAACATTACAGACTGTTTAAAAAAACATATTTAAACTCCATTCCAGAAGAAACCTTTGTCCTGACTCCATCCAAGGGCTGACTGGATGTTACTGGTTCACAGACCAAAGGCAACAATATATTAACCTGACCATACCTAGATGTATTAAAGGTTCACAGATATGGTCTCTACCTAGGCAATCTTTTCCACAGGAAAGGAAGGGAAAATGGATTTTGAGTAAACAGTTAGAAACGATCATTATTTGTAAATAAACATTTAAGCTTCACAACCTTGAATTTGTTTATATTGTGTAGGTTTGTTTTGAAAACGATTTTTAGCACCTTTACATACACTGCTCCTCAGATATTAAGTTTTCTTCTGTAATTTTGGCAATTAATTAATTAATCAGCAGTTGAAATGACTAACAGTGTTGCTTAATATTATGATTTGGAGAAGCAACATTGTAAGAGGAGCAGATTTTTAGATGATAAATATTTTATTTTTTATATTTATATAATTACAACCATAGAAGCAACAGAGACCTACTAAACCTACAGCATATGTGACACTACATTAGAAACACTGACAACTTTGAAGGTTAGATGACATATGATTTTTAAAACTCTAGGTAGTTCCTTAAAAATATGTTTTTTTTTCTCCAATAGACAGCTATGGTCTTAAAATATCTTATTTCAAAATTTCATGTGTCAATGATGACTGCTCATATTCACTGGCTTTTTAATGATTTTGAACTTCTATTTTAAAATATTTTAAATGAAATATGTACATCTGAAAACTATCATTAATAATACTGTATTGTACACTTGAAATCTTCTAAGAGCAGAGAAGTGCTCTTACTATACACACACAAAAAGTGGTAACTCTTTGAGGTAATGGAGATGTTAATTAATTTGATTCTGGCAATTATTTCACAATGTGTATATACATCAAAACATCACATTGTACACCTTAAATATATGTAATTTTATGTGCTTATACCTTGACTTAACTAGAAAAAGAGAAGAAAAACACATTAATAATGCAGTGTATTGAATCTGATATAATTGGTAAGTTGGTTAGGAAGCAAATAGCTAACGTAGCCATTTAGAATAGTAGCATAGAATTAACTTCATAAATAAACCCTGAATTGGAATCATGCCATTTACTATCTGTGTGATTTTTGAACAAGTTACTTAACATCTATGTGCCTCAATCTTCTCACCTGAAAAATAAACATGCACATGGTACTTAAGTCATATGAATTTTTGCTAATCATTTTTATTGTTCTAGAACTAGAATACAGTGAGTAGTCTTGTTAATAGTTCTATGCTTTCCTAAACACTAGATTATAGAATTAAAGCTTTGTTTACCTTTTTTAACCTAATAATGGAATGGAATTATGCTTTCCATTATACCTACCAATGATATTACTAATTTAATTCCAAATACATGTGCCACTTTGTGATTTTGATATATTTTTCCTCAATGTATGTATTCATTCTCTGAAGGCAATGGTTCTATGTAAGATAGATGAAAACCATATAATTATTGACATATTTTGTATTGGTAAATTAATGGTGACATATTTTGCAAACTGTCCTAAAGCATATATTTTTCATTAAATGATATATCTTGGGAATCTTTCTATGTCATTGAATAAAGAGATGCCTTACTCTTTTTTCTTCATCTTTTTATTTTGAGAAATTCAGGAAACATAAAGAAGTTGAAAAATAGAACAAAGATAAGCAGTATAATTTCACCTATTTTCAACAATGGTTAATTCAATATACAACAATTTTCAACAATTGTTAATACAATATAATAACAATACAATAATACACAAAAATATAACAATATAATAACAATTGTTAATGCCTGTTATATTAATTTTCTCACTTTATATGAGGGTATATATATATACGTGTGTTTGTTAAACAATTTGAAAAAAGTTGTAGACATCATAACGCTGTACTATAATAGCAACTACTTAAACAGGTTTATTTTTAGATATCAAGAACAATCTTCTTCTATCTAACCTTATATCATTTTCATTGCAATGACACAGAAATATTTTATTTTATAGATATCATATTCAAATTTCTTTTTTATCATAGTTAAATTTTCTTCTTTATTTTTAATTTTATTTTATTAATTTTTATGGATACATAGTAAATGTACACATTTATGGGGTACATGAGATGTTTGATTATTTGTTATCTTTTGCAATCCATAATTTTCTAAAGATCCTCCATTGCACTTGGTGTCATGGCTCTTACATGGTTTTAATATAGAATAAACTCACTGTCTTTTTTTCTTTTCTTGAGGAACTTGTAATTTTGGTTTTTAATAAAATTATCATATTCATTTTCAGATTAAATATTCATATATTTCATCTTTACTCATGGTAGAAAATTTAAAACCATAAAATTCCAATTTTCATGAATGCATTAACAGCCAGAATTTGACTTTTAAACACTGTTTTCTATTACATGGCCCAGGTTTGGTACAAGGAAAGTACAAAATGAGCATGAAACACCTTATTCTTTCAGAAAACAAAGAAATGCTCATGGACAAATGGTAACAATTCAAAGAGACACAAGAGCTGACTCTTATTCTTAATTTTGGCACAATTTTGAAATCAAAAGGAATAATGACTGTAATGAATTTTCACAGACTGGATTTTAAAAATAACTCATGATTGTTTACTGATACAGTTATGGGATGGGGTAGGGAAAGTTCTTCTTTATACATGAATGCCAAGATACAAGTGTAGAACAAATAATAAAAATATAAGTAGTCAATTTGCATCTGCCAATGTAATATTTGACTTAATAAATAATCATCAACCTGCAATTCTATGTTTTCTCATGTACCCCAGGGAAGTGAAACCTGAAAAGCACACTTCCCAGGCCTCGTTGCCAGCAGGATTTCTTTTGATATACTCCAATAAAAGTCACTCATGCTGTATCTGGAAGATATAGGGATAAGGAGTAGCCATTATTCTCTGGTAGTGCTTTCAAGCCATTTTTGCACACCACTTAATTATTACTTTAGTATTCTGGGTACCTGAGAACCTTAGAGGTGGCCTCCATTAGTAACCATTTTCTCTGAAAGCAGTTCCTATAATATTTGCTTCCCAACCTTCAGACTTTTGTGTAACCCTGTATTTCCCTGAGTTAAACCTATTCTTCCTTTAAATAGCTTAAATACTACTATTCTTCGGAGGCTTGTGATCCTCCAAAATTCACGTTAAAACTTAGTCTCCGATGCATTAGTGTTAAGAAGTAGGGCCTTCTCAGAAGTTATTAAGTTATGAGAGCTCCGCTTTTAAGATTAATGCCCTGATAAAAGAGGCTTCAGAGAGCTGTCACTCCATCCATCTTTTCTACAGTGTGAGGACGCTTCATTCATTTGGGTTTTGTTTGTTTTTTGTTGTTTTTTTCTCCCTTTCCACGTGCAGCAAGAAGTCTCTGTCTTGGAGGTAGAGAGTGCTTACCAGATATCAAACCTGCTGGTGCCTTAATTTTGTACTGTCCAGTCTCCATAACTGTAAGAATTAAATTTCTGATTTAAAAAAAATTATTCAATCTAAGCTATTTTGTTACAGCAGCATGAAGGGACTAAGAAAACTATCTGTTTTTTTCTGACTGACTGGTACAGAATTAGGTACTAGAATTAATTCTAAGATGATTAGATTTGAAGAGTGTAATTATGCTAAAATAAAATAATGCTAAAATAATTTGGCACACTGGACATCTATTGTATGCAACGGAACAATAGTTACTTAAAACATCTCTTGTAATTACCTGGAATAAATTGCCTATAAAAAACAATACTATGGGATTAGTTACCAAAACCTTTGGGTGGGAATGATGGTTATAAATCGGAGGGTGGAGTGGGGACAAGAAAAGCAAAATTAGGAGATTCATGACAAGGAATTCTGGAGAAGACAATGAACATAACATGTAAGCACAACTACTTTATTCATATAAATTCTCATTAAAGTGCATTTAGTGCATATGCAACTTATAAGAATTGGGTAAAGAGGCTAACCCATTCTCAGAATGCCAGTCAGTCTTCTGCCACACTAATGCTTGGCCAGTGGGTTTGTGGACTAACTAACAATAAGATTATGAGATTAATGTTTTGTATGAGCTCAAAAAACACTGGTTTCCTTTTACTGTGCCTGACCAGGCTACATTCAGTGCTGCATTCCCAACCTATGAGGGTAAGAGGCCAATATTGTGCCTCTGCTATTGCACCTGGCATGAAAAACTGGGCATTCACCTGGTAGTAGTTTTATTACATTAGAATCTTCTTATCACACAGTTAGCACTTACTTAGAATATGGATATGTATTCCCTATCTACAGTGTTCCAATGTAACAGTAAGTTTAAATATTTGTGAAATTCAGGGAATTCCCTGAATTGTCTATCAGTACTTCTATCTCCTCAGGTAAATGTTAGTGAAGGACCACGGCAACACAATGTAGAAAGGATGATGCATGGCTTAGATTATTCAGAAATAAAATTATTTATCACATAAGCTCAAGAGCCATGGCCAACTGAGCTGTTCAATGAAAGCAAAGATAGAGAATAGGTAGTGAAAGAACATTTTATGTAACAACTACCAGTTGTTGTCTAGTTGAAAAAAAAACAAGATCTATAGTGGTTTTGAATATATTTTTAATATTTTGTTATGTATATATATTTGTATATGTTAACCATTTTTCCTACCATTTTTCTACAATCTTACATTAATGGTGGTCATACCTCTAATTTAGTCTGTAAATGACATAGTACCAAAGGAAAATTGTGAATTTGTCATAAAAAATGAACATTACTCAGACATCAGTAAAGGAAGGACTTTGAGTTTTCTATTTTGGGGAACCTGAGAAAGTCTTTATTTAGAAGAAGAATAGATGCATGTTAGGCAGAGACAAGATGATACTATTTTTGTGTCTGCTTAAAAGATAAATATGAACAGAAAGGAACATATGAACAGTGAGATTTCAAAGGTATGGCCTGTGATGGATATTTTCTTACTTCTAAATTCTGTCCTGTATCTCAGAAGCTAAAGCCTCAAAGTTAGATGTCGTAGAATCCACTTGAAATCAAACTTGTGGCTGGATCTCATCAATTGGATGCGTATGTGTGCAGGTCTGGAGTTTTACTTTTAGATTTTACATCTTCTACTGAATGGCACTGCCTAGGTTTTCTTCTAGGGCATTTATGGTTTTAGGTCTTACGTTCAATCTTTAATCCATCTTGAGTTAGTTTTGGTATAAGGCATAAGGAAGGGGTCCAGTTTCAGTTTTCTGCATATGGCTAGCCAGTTTTCCTAACACCATTTATTAAATAGGGAATCCTTTCCCCATTGCTTGTTTTGGTCAGGCTTGTCAAAGATCAGATAGTTGCAGATGTGTGGCGTTATTTCTGAGGTCTCAGTTCTGTTCCATTGGTCTACAGAATCACCCTTCTTGGTATTGTAAGTGCTAAGATTACTGAGAGAATTTCTGTGATCCCTATGCTTCTAATCCTTCCACACTTACGAAAGCCTCCAATTCTTTGTAAGATTTATTCTATCAAAATACCTGAAGAAGTATCTGTTTCACTGAGAAACTATGCACTAAGTAGAAGATGCTATCTATTTCATTTGAGTATGAAACATTAATGATCTGGGATAAAACTTGGGTTTTGTTGGCTTCCTTTTTCTATAAAATTTATATTCATTTAGCATTGTATATGTTTAATTGAAGAAAATCTTGATTGAGGTTATCAGGAATTTTGATCATAGCAATTACAAAAATGTGTCACAAAAGTAAGATTTTAATTATTTAAATTAGAAAATTAAAGCCCACTGAAATTGAGGAGCTCGTCCGAGGTGGAATGTTGACTGGTATTACCGGACATTTTTCCTGTTTTCTAATCCAGGTCCCCTTCCAAGTTACTACTTACTTAACAATGAAATAAACAAAAATGTGTTAATCTTTAATAAGAAAAGACTGTGCCAGTAATTTTTGCCACTTGAATGTTGAGTAGAAAAAAACAATGAAAAGTGTGACTTTTAAATGAGGTGGAGAAAAAGGACATTTATCAACATATTATATAGGAAACACAGAGAATGCAAGAGATAAGGTGCAGGTAATCTTTTTAAAGATTGTCATTCTTTAATTCCCATCTCTAACTTTGGTTATAGAACCTCAAATGGATTATACATTTAGAAATTGTAACTGGCATGGAAAGTGAGGTCTTGAACAAGAGAGTGAGAATAGAAGTATAATGCTGAAAACATTGTGCTGTCGCTGAATGTTTCTTAAACAATAAAACTCAGAAGGAAGTAACAGAGCTCAATGAGCCTTTCTGCCATAGAGATTCAATCCTTCTCCCTATGGCCCAAGAATGGCCATAATTTGTGGTGCCCAAGTCTAAATAAAATGTGAGCTCATTGTCCAAATAGTATTAAAGATTTTAAGTGGTACAGCAGAGGGTTAAGACCAAGTATGTCATCTTTCTAGGCACAGAGACTTGTAGTAAAGGAGCAATAGTAAAGCCACTTCATTACATAATTGCATTCACTTAATTTACCCATCAACCTTATCTATATACTTGCTTTTGCCAATATAAATGCATTGGTAAAATACTTATTTCATATTGACATAGACTTGGGCACAAGAGCATCTAGATTAAACACAAACTTTAAATTTAATTTTACCTTCTTACACATTGACCCAAGTGGATAATTTCTTTTCTTTTTTTTTCATAAAGATACATTTCACTTTATTCCTTTTGCATACAATAAGTAAACATTTTGTAGTTAATATAGACTTTGCCCTGTTAAATATTACACATAAGGCTAAATGATTTTTAAATTACTTAATATTCAATTTTTTTTCACAAATACTATGAATTCTATAGGAACTATTTTAAAATGTATGAAATAAAATTGATGCATGTATTTTGTGAATTGTCAATTGGAATTCAAACTATTAATAGTATCAGGAATAGTGCATCTAAATGAAACATTTTGGAAAGCAGCAGTTGTTTGCAGAACCTGAATGGTTTCATGAACTCATAGACAAATAGTTGGCTTATTACCATAACTATTCGTGAATTTATTCCTATGTCATTATTTAATTACTTTTATTGATACCTAAATATTTTATTTAAAGAACAGAACACTTATTTGGACATTTTCACTGTCCCTGAATATCTTAGTTTGGGTATCTTAAAAATAGCTTGGGGCTGGGTGCAGTGGCTCATGCCTGTAATCCCAACACTTTGGAAGCCCTAGGTGGGCCAATCACCTGAGGTCAGGAGTTCGAGACCAGCCCTGGCCAACATGGTGAAACCCTGTCTGTACTAAGAATTACAAAAATTAGAAAAGCATGGTGGTAAGCGCCTGTAGTCCCAGCTACTCTGTAGGGTGAGGCAGGAGAATCGCTTGAACCTGGGAGGCAGAGGTGGCAGTGAGTCGAGATCATGCCGCTGCACTCTAGACTGGGCGACAGAGCCAGACTCTGTTTAACAAAAAAAAAATATGTATGTCTTGAGGCCAATCTTTATTGTTATTGCTTTATTTCTGTGTTGTAGAGTAAGAAGGAAAATAACATAAGGAAGTGTATTACCAAGCCTTTAATTTTGTCAGAAAACACAGACAGCTGTCTCAGAAGAAGATTCTGCCAAGGTCATATGGAAACACTATGTCTCAAATTATTCTCTTAGCAGAGAAGCAAGAGAAGAATTTATCCACCTTTGCTTCTCACGTAGCTCATTGTTCAGAGTACACCTCCATGACAGTGGGGAAACCCTGAAGGAGGAAAATGAGAGACGACAGTGTGAATCGTAAAGTGAGATACAGTCAAATTGTGCTACCAGGGAAAAGAAAGATGGGATAATTTCTGGTTGTGGGCCTAGCTGATTATACAGCGCAGCTGCTACACACAATCTCTGAAGGAAGTAACAGAGCTCAATGAGACTCTCTGCAATAGAGATTCAATCCTCCTCCCTATGGCCCAAGAATGCTCATAATTTGTGGTGCCAAGGGCAAAATGAAACGTGGGCTCATCATCCAAAAATTATTAAGGATTTTAAGTGGTATAGCAGAATATTAAACCAAGCATGTGGTCCTTCTAGGCACAGAGACCTGTGCAACTGCATAGGTCATGCACTCAGAAAGCCACTTCTGCCATAGCCTGCATGAATCTTACTGGTATTAAGAGACCTTCATGGAGGGGAGCCTGTAGGATGGAACAAAATACTATTGTTCAGTGTATCTAGGGAGGCTCTGTGATGGCATCTGTTGCCCCAAAAGACTGTATTTTGAAAGATATACTTTTAAAGTATAGAGATAAGATGATACTATTTTTGTGTCTGCTTAAAAGATAAATATGAACAGAAAGGAACATATGAACAGTGAGAATCACTATCCTGATTATAAAAATTGCAGTTTATTATAGTTTATTAGATGTTTCTTTAACTCTTAAGCACTGTGTCTCCCAGATATTTTGTATGAAAATATTAAAATTCAATTAGGTAAATTTTGGCTGATTTAAGGTTGTACGTTTTTCGTCAGAGAAACAACATATCAAAAAACTGATTGATTATTTGAACATATCATTCACACACATATAAAGTGTTTACAGACTTATGAACTGAAGGCGTAGACATATTCTGAATTGTTATCTTAACTTCCAATATGTTTTTCTCACCCAATTTTTTTTCTCATTTTTGCCTCAGTGATAGTATATTTTATTAAGCAGACTCATTGTCAGATCTTTAATTTCTTTGGAGTCCTTTCTGGCTTGAAAGAGTAGCTTCTAATTTTTTTCTTTTTTGTTTTAAATCAAAGACTACTATCGAATTTGTTAAAATGTTATTTAAAAGACTTACCATATTTTTTTCAATTGTGAAAATAATGTTCAGCAAAACTACACCCTATTTGATTTTATAAGACATCGAAGGAAAAAATGAAATTAGAATAAGCATTCTTTTGTTTTGTTTTGTTTAAGTAAGGAAAACAAAAATAGAAAGACAATGTAAACATCAGTGGGGAAATGTAAGTATGAACACACGAGGAACCATCTGGGAAAGTGATCACAGGATATGATACAGCACATGAAAAAATACACAAATAGGCAATCTGCTTTTCACTACTGACATATCCATCAGCATAAAAACATGATAATAATAATAATAGCTGAGAACTTCTGCTTTTAATTTTCTCTAATCATCATGTCCATATTCTTAATTCATTACAATAGACATACATTTATTTTCATAGGATTCAGGACTATGTTATAAAGTATAAACTTTAAAATTCAAATTTGAGCTGTATATTATTGGCAAGTCAGTCTACACTATTTTTTATAACTGAGTTTTGAGTACACATAATTATTATTTCTAAAATATAATGATTCTGATGTTGAGAAACTCAAATTTCTGCTTTTTTTTGTTACCTGTAGGTTAAGTTCTCTGTCTCACTTTCCATGTAAAGTAGACGCAGAGAAAAGACACACACTCTCATTGTGAATAGAGTTATATATTAACATTTACTCAAAGGCTTTATGTCATACATTTAATATTTACAATAAAAAGAATTGTTGAATACGTAGTATATTCCACAGTATGATGAGTGTTGAAACAAAGGTGAATACAATATGATTACTATCCTAAAGGAGTTAAAAAATGAGAAATGGCCTGCCTTATATTTATTTAAAATGCATAAAAGTATTTTAGCAGCTACAGAGGCTGGACAAGAAGACATAACCTAAACGGAAAAAGAATTATTTAGCACTTTATTTTAGGGTAAGGAATAATTTGTAAAAAAATGATTCAACTTTGGTTTCCCCTGTCCTATATTGCTTGTAAGTAAATAATACATCATATTAGTAGTAATATTCAAAATTATACTGGATCCTCACTGTAGCTCCCCATATATTTTTTTCAGACTCCCTCAAACTCTTACCTAGTTATGTATGAAGATTCTCAAAAGTTGCCTCATGTGCACACATAAAAAGCACATACTGCTACAGACATGAATAACGTGGTCTTAATCTTTTGCTCTAATTCTTCATTTCAGGACGCTGTCTGGGAAGTCCTCAACCCTTTTGCTGCAGCTTTTGTTGATTTTATAAACACTGATGGCTATACAAATGCGGTGCCCCTTCATCCACATAATGCTGATGAAAACCAGTGAAAGACCCAGATTGTCCCTGCACTGCTTGGCACACCCTATATGTCAAAGCTCTGCTGGGCTTCCTCGAAAGTGGACCAAGCGTTCTATTCCAACATATGGCAACAAACCAGGACAATCAAAAGAGTGCAATAATTGCCACTTCCCATTCTGCCTATGACTCTGTCTCCATGAGGCTCAGTTATGAGTCTTATGTCTGGGCTTAAGACATGACGAATGCAAATAACCTCCTGTCTTTCTCTTTACTTCTTCCAACACATAGACATTTAAACTCTTATAATTAATTTACTGAAATAGATGCCTCATATTCAGCCTGTTCCCCAAGTTCATCAGATATATATTTTGATGTCTGCCTTTAATCAGTTAACTCAACCTTGGCTGATACTACAAAATTAGGTTAATTTAAAAATGATTAGGAAGTTTATATTGTGAGTTAAGTTGGTACTGATTTTCTCAATATTGTTTTCCAAGATTAAGTATTAATAGAAAGCTACCATTAGCAAACGTTTTATTTTGCTTAAATTTAAAAATTCAAGCATAGAGTTCAAGCCCTTCAAAGTTCAATGTAGCTGAACAATCTTCGGATAATTGTAACAACAAAAGTGGCTCCGCATAATTATTAATATTCTGACTTACATCAGTAAGTCAAAGAAGTATACTTTGCTTTAAAGATACCAGTTAAATAATGCAACTCTGTAAGGAAGAATAATATGTAGCAAAGTAATAAGTCTGATAACTATTCCATTACAGCTGGCTCATAAATGTCTATGTTTTATTAGATAAAAGAAACGTGAATAACAAAATCAAATCAATATTCTGTTAATTGAGGTGTTATAGGATTTTTTCTTCCCCCAAATGGGATATTGTTGTATTTTATAATGTCAAGCGCATCTGTATTTCTTCAACTTATCTAACACAATATACAATGACATTTTTATGAAATAGGTTGAAGGATTTAAGGTGAATGAGCATAATTAAGAGAATTGATAATTGAATAAACTGGGTAATCAGGTTGCCAAAAAGGTTGTCAATCTGAAAAAATGATCTGTAACAGAAAATCCAAGTCCTTGCCTCAGGCTTGGCTTAACCAATAACTTTTGTAGAAACCTTTATGAGGATAAACATGATGTACAAAAGGATTTATGGATGACAAGAAGTTTTAAAATGTAAGGAGTATATATAGAAGTGGAGAATCAGTATAAAAGAAAATCTTGACTGGCAGAGGCAACAGTCCAAACTGACTACACAAAATGTGACAGAGATCAACACACAATCTGTATTATTTCCAATACAGCAGAGACATGCGGAAAACTAAGAGGTAAACTAAAACAGTTGGTATAAACAAAACTTTAGGGATTAAGTGTAATCTAAATCGGTAGCATAAATTATTGATCAAATAATCTAATGATGGTTTAGGTACATCTAATTTGAATTACTATGGTGGCCTCTCGTTTACAGATGTGTTAGACAAATCATATCCAGAGCATTGTTTTCAATTCTGGGCCTCACACAATGAGAGGACATATATTGCAACTGAACATGTGTTTTTGCATAATTTTAAGGAGAGCAAAGACAAGAAAGTAAATAAAAAACTCACTTTTATTAATCATTATAACATTTTCTTATAAAAATTTACATTTTACAAATGCCCGACAGGATAGGTAATATTATATCTCAATTATAGCTAAAAATCTGAGAAATAGGAAGTTTAGGTAACTTAGCATGATAACAGATTTGAGAAGAGCTAAAGCCAGGTTCAAACCTATATCTGCCTAACTATCAAAAATTATGTTGAACATTCCTATGTTGCCCTTTTACTATGTGAAATTAAAAGATGTTAAAGGAGAATCACATTCATTTAAATTTAACCAAAGCAATGGAAAGCCTTTCAGGTGCTAATCACTGAGAATATTCTGTAATCTGAAGAGCTTGTGATCTTACCCTGGGTCCTGACCTCTAAAAATGTAAATTCTAGAACTAGGGAAAGATAACTTAATTCTACTCAATTACCCTTTGAGTATGTTGTTTCATTTGTTCATTTTTTGTTTTCCTTTGTTTTTGGCTCTCCAAAAATCATAATGCCAGAATTCAAGGCATTGCTTACCTGTGAAGCAAAATAGGTATGGATTTCTGGAACACTTTGCTCTGAACCGAGAAAAGGGATTAGCTCAAGAGAGGAGGCATGTGTATGGAGAAGATGTTAAGCTTTCCAGCTTCTGCTTTACACTCCGTTAAGTGAAGAAGCCTCAAGAAACCAAGAGAGTAATGTTTTTTGTTCTCACAGTTTTTAATACCTTAAACCTGTACCAGCAGATACATGTGGAGCAATATTTGTCAGAGCTGAGCTGGTCCATCCATCAGATCACTTGGTCTTATGGTAAGGGGAGGGAAAACTAAGAGGTAAACTAAAGTATCACATAAATAGTGTATTGAGGAACAGTTAAAAATCTCTATTTTTATGAATCTTTTTTGATTAGTAATATAAGTGTAAGTGTTTTTCACAGCTAAATGCACTGAACTAATATAAAGTTGAAAGGTAAAACTTAGACGAAAGCTATGTTTCTGCTCCTTTTTTCTGCTGGAAAGCCAGATTGCAGAGATGTGGACATTTCTGTTGTAACATTCCTAAATCCAAGTTTCTATGTGTTAGTTTCGAGGGAACAGCTGATAATATCTTGCCTCCAGCTTACTGTTCCCTGAACCATGGCTACAGCAATGTGTTCTGAAACTAATGGTTTCAGTTTAAGCTTTCTAATCCACCACTCTCCTTCTTCCTGATAGGGCAGAAGGAGTAGAGCCCCTGGCAGGTTAGTTCTGTGGTATTCTGAAAATCATTCCCAGAGACTTAATCAATCAAGCTTCTTCACCATTTCTAACATATTTTAAACAGCAAATTCTATTTAACCATTTTCTGTCTAAGATACTAGTGTTATGTCTGTTTTCTTTAATGAATGCTAAATTATACACAGTATTGATAGATGCATCTTTCCTAGTGTCACAAATGAAGATAAATTTATATGTATTTTCCGCAGTCAAGATGGCTGTGAGAGAGGAAAAGACATTCCTCTTCCAATGACTGAATTATAAATGGCATTTAAAACATGGAATGACACAGAGATGAAGAGTCTACTAATCCTTCCTGCAGGATCAGGAGAGGTTTTACAATAAACTTGATATTTGAATGTCATATTAAAAAAATAAATGATTTTATCAGTATGACATGGTGTAGGTGACGTATTTTTGCTAAAAGGAGGAGCAAGCATAAACGCATGACATGTTGAAATTAATTGATGTATTTAGGGAATCATGAATCTGCTTGTGTGATTAAAGAAATGGGCAAAAGCTTGGACATTGTTGGATATAAGACTTGAAAGGACAATTCGGGGCAGAATGTCAAGTATTTTAATATATTCTAACACCAGAGGAATGGTTAAAAGTGCAAGATATTTTTTCTTGGAAAATATAATGGGACTTGTATATCACTAGCTGACTTCAACTATTCAAACTTCTATAATATTAAAAAATAGGCATTTTCTGTGTGTCTGTGAAGAGAAATTTAGAAACTAGTAGATAAAAATTGTAGCTACTAGGCAAGGTAGGTTGGAGTAGTGATCTCAATTTTTTACTTTCTCTTTGCATTGCAGTTATGCATCCATAACCTAGCCATGTGTACATGCATCTTTTCCACTTGAAATACATAGTAAATTTTCAGGTAGTGAGATGCTTCCAGCTTTGTTCTTTTGGCTTAGGATTGACTTGGCAATGTGGGCTCTTTTTTGGTTCCATATGAACTTTAAAGTAGTTTTTTCCAATTCTGTGAAGAAAGTCATTGGTAGCTTGATGGGGATGGCATTGAATCTATAAATTGCCTTGGGCAGTATGGCCATTTTCACGATATTGATTCTTCCTACCCATGATCATGGAATGTTCTTCCATTTGTTTGTATCCTCTTTTATTTCATTGATCAGTGGTTTGTAGTTCTCCTTGAAGAGGTCCTTCATGTTCCTTGTAAGTTGGATTCCTAGGTATTTTATTCTCTTTGAAGCAATTGTGAATGGGAGTTCAATTATGATTTGGCTCTCTGTATGTCTGTTAATGGTGTATAAGAATGCTTGTGATTTTTGCACATAGATTTTGTATCCTGAGACTTTGCTGAAGTTGCCTATCAGCTTTAGGAGATTTTGGGCTGAGACGATGGGGTTTTCTAGATATACAATCATGTCATCTGCAAACAGGGACAATTTGACTTCCTCTTTTCCTAACTGAATACCCTTTATTTCCTTCTCCTGCCTGATTGCCCTGGCCAGAACTTCCAACACTATGTTGAATAGGAGTGGTGAGAGAGGGCATCCCTGTCTTGTGCCAGTTTTCAAAGGGAATGCTTCCAGTTTTTGCCCATTCAGTATGATATTGGCTGTGGATTTGTCATAAATAGCTCTTATTATTTTGAGATACATCCCATCAATACCTAATTTATTGAGAGTTTTTAGCATGAAGTGTTGTTGAATTTTGTCCAAGGCCTTTTCTGCATCTATTGAGACAATCATATGGTTTTTGTCATTGGTTCTGTTTATATGCTGGATTACATTTATTGATTTGCATATGTTGAACCAGCCTTGCATCCCAGGGATGAAGCCCACTTGATCATGGTGGATAAGCTTTTCGATGTGCTGCTGGATTCGATTTGCCAGTATTTTATTGAGGATTTTTCCATCGATGTTCATCAAGGATACTGGTCTAACACTCTCTTTTTTGTTGTGTCTCTGCCAGGCTTTGGTATCAGGATGATGCTGGCCAAGGCTACAGTAACCAAAACAGCATGGTACTGGTACCAAAACAGAGATATAAAACAATGGAACAGAACAGAGCCCTCAGAAATAATGCCGCATATCTACAACTATCTGATCTTTGACAAACCTGACAAAAACAAGAAATGGGGAAACGATTCCCTATTTAATAAATGGTGCTGGGAAAACTGGCTAGCCATATGTAGAAAGCTGAAACTGGATCCCTTCCTTACACTTTATATAAAAATTAATTCAAGATGGATTAAAGCTTAAATGTTAGACCTAAAACCATAAAAACCCTAGAAGAAAACCTAGGCAATACCATTCAGGACATAGACATGGGCAAGGACTTCATGCCTAAAACATCAAAAGCAATGGCAACAAAAGCCAAAATTGACAAACGGGATCTAATTAAAGTAAAGAGCTGCATAGCAAAAGAAACTACCACCAGAGTGAACAGGCAACCTACAAAATGGGAGAAAATTTTTGCAACCTACTCATCTGACAAAGGGCTAATATCCAGAATCTACAATGAACTCAAACAAATTTACAAGAAAAAAACAAACAACCCCATCAAAAAGTGGGCAAAGGATATGAACAGACACTTCTCAAAAGAAGACATTTATGCAGGCAAAAGACACATGAAAAAATGCTCATCATCACCGGCCATCAGAGAAATGCAAATCAAAACCACAATGAGGTACCATCTCACACCAGTTAGAATGGCGATCATTAAAAAGTCTGGAAACAACAGGTGCTGGAGAGGATGTGGAGAAATAGGAACACTTTTACACTGTTGGTGGGACTGTAAACTAGTTCAACCATTGTGGAAGTCAGTGTGGCGATTCCTCAGGGACCTAGAGCTAGAAATACCATTTGACCCAGCCATCCCATTACTGGGTATATACCCAAAGGATTATGAATCATGCTGCTATAAGGACACATGCACACGTATGTTTATTGTGTCACTATTCACAATAGCAAAGACTTGGAACCAAGCCAAATGTCCAACAATGATAGACTGGATTAAGAAAATGTGGCACATATACACCATGGAATACTATGCAGCCACAAAAAAGGATGAGTTCATGTCCTTTGTAGGGACATAGATGAAGCCGGAAACCATCATTCTCAGCAAACTATCACAAGGACAAAAAAACAAACGCTGCATCTTCTCATTCATAGGTGGGAATTGTACAATGAGAACACACGGACACAGGAAGGGGAAAATCACACACCGGAGCCTGTTGTGGGGTGAGGGGAGGGGGGAGGGATAGCATTAGGAGATATACCTAATGTTAAATGATGAGTTAATGGGTGCAGCACACCAACATGGCACATGTATACATATGTAACAAACCTGCACGTTGTGCACATGTACCCTAAAACTTAAAGTATAATAATAATAAAAAAAGAAATACATAGTAAATTTTCATGACAGGCTGGTCTATAATATGTGTTTTGAAGGAAAAAGGTGGTAGATCTGAGGAAAGACTCGAACATACATGGTTTTGTTAGCTCTCTGGAACTTCTCGCAACTGCATTGAGAATTCCTTGAGTAGTTGCTGCTCCGAAGAGACTAAGAAAACATACCAAGCAAACCTGATCTCAGCCCAAAGTATGAAGACAAACCCATTGGAATTCAGCAAAGTCACAGCTCACCTACTTATCAGTAAGAAAGAATAATAATAAAGATTTGTTGTTGTTACTGAGATTTTGAGAGTGCTTATTTTGAAGCAAAACACTAACTTATTCTTCAAGAAAGCCTTTATTCAATCCATCCTCTCTTAAAAAAACAGAAAAACTTGGAGGCATTCTTTCTAGGAATAATCAAATAGAGTCTGAACATATATTTCTCTCCACTTTCATAGCCCTAACCATTATTATCTTCTGCTTAGAAGACTCTAAAAGCAATTTAAAACATTCTGTCACCAAAACTATGCATTACATGGTAGTGAGAATAACCTTTTATAAAGTTGTTGGATCATTTTGTCCCATGTTTAAAATACTTTAATGCTTTCATATGCACTAAAAAGAAAACGCATACTCCCTATAAGACCTTTAACGGTCCCTTCCCAGTTCATCTTTACTCTGTGCTACACTATCCTTCCCTTTTGTACTCGAACCACATTGAACTTTTTCTCTACCATGAACATGCCAATCTTGACCTCATGTTGGGTCACTGAAATTACCCTGTGCCTGATATTCTTCCTGCCTGATTCTTCTTGTTACTAGTTGTTTTCATCCTTTAGATATTAGCTTAAATATTTCCTCCTCCACTGCCATTCCTGTTCATGCTGTCGTTCCCTATTTCTTAAAAGTATTTATCAAAACCAGCAATTTGTTTATTTTCTCAATTATTTTTTCCCATATGAATGTACATTTGTTGACAGCAAGAACCATATTTGTGTTCTTTGGATTGCTTACTGCTACATTCTTAGTTATTAGACCAGGAAAATATATATTTACTGAGGGAAAGAAAAAGGTTAAATCAGTAAATGCATATATTTGTTAGAGACACAATAGTTCAGGTATAATTATTGGTTAGATATTGAATAAAATGAACTTTATAATCATTTACATTCAAAAATCTATTGTGTAGTTATACTGGCATATTTTATTAAAACATAAATGGAAAATATGGAGACCATATCTCAGGTCCTTCTTTCATCTCAGCATGATCAACTTTGAGCTAATCTGGGTTAGAACACAGAATAGCCACTAATAGGCAATGTTGTTCCTTTACCATTCCCGAAGTCCCTAGCTGTAATGCAAAACTGTAAATGTATACTTTATAAATTATGGCACTTACATCATACAAACAAGAGGAAGGCACCACCATATTTCAGGTGACCTTTTCTTCTCCAGGGTGGGTTAGACTTTGTTGACCTTGATAATTTACTGACCTCTACAGGTGTGCTTGTAATTAAATAAGCAAGCTTGTCTGAAACAATATTGGGACAATTAAAAAGAAAATAAGCTTTAAAGGTATCACACAAGTTTTAACTCATAGGGATTGGAGCACCGGAAAGTACTCTCACCAGTCAAGCACCACATTATAGTAGCACCTCCTCCTGTAATCTATTCTACAGGAATTCAGTGTGTTTGTATGTATGCATGTCTGTGAAATCTAATGTTGGAAATCTGAAGTGTAAGAAGAACATGCCTAGGCAAAGATGCATTAAAAAGCTTAAATTAGCCGGGTTTGGTGGCGGATGCCTGCAGTCCCAGCTACTCTCCTATCCAGCTAGGCTGAGGCAGGAGAAAAGCTTGAACCCAGGAGGCAGAGGCTGCAGTGAACTGAGATGGCGCCACTTCCCTCCAACCTGTGCGGCAGAGTGGTGCTCCATCTCAAAAAAAAAAAAATGCTTATGAAAATATGTATTTCCCAAAATGCAAAGAACCCAAATATCTATCAGTGGATGAAGGGTAAATATACAATGTAGTATTTTCATACAATTGAATATTATTCAATGATAAAACTAAAGTACTGGCATATGGTAATACATGGATAAAACTTGGAAACAATATGCTAAGTAAAAAAAGCCATTCCCATATGTACGATTCCACTTATATTGTGTCCAGAATAGCAAACATATAGAGACAGAAAGTAGATTAGTGTTTGCCACAGGCTGGCGAAGGAAAGATGGGTAGTGACTACTAATTAGCACGAGGTTTCTTTTGGGGGTGACAAAGTATTCTACAAGTAGATAATGGTCACAGTTGAAAACAAACTCAGCTGTACACTTGAAAAGGTGAATTATATAGTATGCGAATTGTGTATCAACTAAGGTCTTACAAAAAAGTAGTGCTTGTGGGGCAGGACTCTAATATATTATGGCTGTCCTCAAATTAGCAAAATATTCACACAAATGTGTCTATTATAGATGGCATATCTGAATTATCTCCTCTGTATTATGGAAAAAGATCACCACGATAGTATAATTATTTACATATTCAGCAGAATTTGAATAAATTTGTCACCGGATTTCTCAGTGTAGAAATGTCTTATGCCTCATTAATTCTGAATATTTGTTTGCCTCAAGATTTCTTTATTTTTATAAAATAGGCCTTTGGAGGTAGATAATAAGCTGATATCAATAAGATTACTAAACACAATCCATTCTAACAAATAGTCAAATAATTATTCCATATCCAAGGATAAGAAACAGGGTAAATCTTTACAGAAAAAATATAATCCTTTGATGTACATCTTTGCAACCATTAAAATCATACTTTGATTACTATTTGATTTAGCCTGTGAGTGTTTTGAGGGTAAAGATTAAATCTTATGTAGTGTTACATCATTAGCCTCTAGGAAAAATTCAAACACATTGAAGGGACGCATAAAATGTTTATCAGATATATACTTCAATACAATGAAACACATCAATTTGAATCCTTTTCATCAAAAAGTAATATAATGAAGTTGTTACTAGCTTTAAAATTATAATTTTTTTCCCTTAAATAACTTTATTATACTTAGAATCAGCAGATTTCTCACTTTTAAATTGAATATATATGCATATATATAAATTAATATATGTTTAATTACATATTTATTCAGCATAACCAAGTTTCTCTTTGTAAACTAACATACAACTTATTTCTTGTACATCTTGTTCAATTATTTTGTGTCTGGACAACCTACTTCACTATAATCCAGAAAGCAGAAACTGCCACCAACATTTGATCAACTGGGATATAAGCTTAGAGATATTATCTCCATTACTGTATTTTTAGGGAAATGTTTTCTAGAAGATGTTCCATATAGTACAGATCCTGTGACATTGTTTACTAAAGGAAAAAAATAATAAAACATTATACAGTCAAGTAGGATTGGGCATATTGCCTATTATTGCCCGTTTCCCAGAACGACAGTGCGATTCTTCCAGAAAATCATTGTAGTGTTAAAGTCTCTGAGGCAGCTTTTAAAATAACTATTTTGCCAATTTCTTGGTTGTGATACTTTGCTATTCTTATGTAGGATGTTACCGTTGAAGGTGACTGAATGACAGATACATGGGATATTTCTGTACTATTTTTTACAACTGACTGTGAATTTACAATCATTTCAATATAGAAGTTTAAAAAATAAAAACAATGTGGAAGAACCCCACCTAAATTCTTTTGGCTTATTTAAAGTGTATAGTATTTGCAACTAAAAAAGTTAATAAATGAAGAAATAAACTTGTTTAACTCTATCCAACCCAGTATTTTCAAAGCCATTTGATTTAAAAATATATTTTTCAACATTTATGGTATACTTTGCTAAATAATGTCCTAGAAATTTTTCAGTTGAAACCAGCTGTTTGAATTGCAGGATTTTGAACACTATAAGGAAGATTTTCGCATTTGCTATACTGTTATCTGATTCTTATACATTTGGGGGCATGAACAGTACATAGCTTATTTCAGTAAAGGCTGAGGATTCCTCTGGTAATCTATTCAGGGATAAAGAACAACTGTAATTCTTTGGTTTCCCCAATGCCTAATACAAAGCTTTGCACTTGAGCACAATTTTGGAATGAACTAAGGTTGTCCTTGCTTGTGGTCTCTGATTTTCTTCCCATTGCAGGGCAACAGAAGGGTGTGGTGTCAATGACTAAAGTAGATGTTATAGACATTATCAAATCCATTAATGTTGATACTAATTTTCTAATTAGGTAAATGTGTCCATGTATCTTTTGCTCTGGACCTGAAACTTAAGGGGCGATGTATACTTTGGGCTCTAACACAGATGAGATGGACTGTAAGTTATCCATAGTATCCTGTGTACCAACTTGAACTCCATCCTTTCATCTTGCTTGAACAAGGACTGACAGCAACTGATAATGATGTTATCACAGGGAGCACTATGAATTGCTCAACTTTATTTTTAAAAAGTCAATTATTTACAAATGTCAAAAATACTAAAAACTTTCAGAGAAGTATTGCAGTGATTACTTTTAATTCAGTGTCTGAAGAAAAATTAAAGACAGCTGCATTTATAGAATTCTATTTAAAGTATATACTGAAATCTGTGAATAGTAATTCATAAAATCAGAAGAGAACATAAAGTAAAAATATGCTTTGAAAATCTTGGTCTCTACCATTTGCTAAGCATTAGATATATATTTTAGCCCAAAATACTAGCTGTAAAAGAAATAATTTTTTTGTCCTTCAGATAAATTGAACTTGTTTCTGAGACCTCATTCATCTGGCATTGGAAAAAATAAATCTAAATTGTTTTGAGAGGACATTCTCCTTTTCCAAGATTTCTTTTAATGCAGCATAAAGATGGCATGAATTATATCTTTCCTCTGATCTCACATTCCTCAACATGCATATTGTTATAATGCTGACATTTTAAATGTTGATATGGCATATCTTTATATATTGTTTCTATTAACATTGTTAAGACAATGACTATTTCCTAGTTTCCTTCTAATCAATGATTCTTGGTCAAATTCCACTTTATAACAGGCACTGAATTAACACCCCCAAATGAAGAAAAAATAATAAATAATTTGATAATGCACACATACATAGTGCTTAAAAATGCTCAGAAATTGAGTAGTTACATATGCAAATATTTTCTAAAAATTAAATTAAAAAAGGAAAATGATATTATGCAGTGAAACTCAATATATTATATAAATAATATTCATATTTGAAATTGAATGTAACGAATGATTTTATAGAATGGTAAAAAACAAGCTGCCTAATTGAATTTACCTAACTGAATCTTGGGTTGTAAGGGTTGACAAAAGTAGAAGAAAAGAGAATGTTTGTAACAAAACAGGTTTTTTTTTTTTTAAAGGCCTCCAAAACACTGTGTTTAGACAAATTCATCAGCTACTACTCTGACTTAATTTTCACCTGTGCTATAAACTCTTTACTTCCTGCAAAAATAGTTACATTAGACTTGTCCTGAAGTTGTAATAGTTCAATAAAATTTTATCTAAAGTCTCTTGGTGGTCTTTTTTCACACATACATATAATATTTACACTAAAATTTCAGAATGCTTCAGATTTCTTATCATTTTTCTAATTAATGGGGCTACATATTAATGCTAGTAATTATTTAACATACATGTAGGTTTCACAAAGCTCATTACATTTGTTATTCAGAAAATATATTTGTGAGGCTACAATGTGTCAGTCTGTGTCCTACAGATTTAAAAATATGTTTTCAAATCGCTATTCAAACATATTTTATAATGATTTAATTATCAGCTAATATTTTGATGAAATCAGATATGCTAAAACTATTCTATCAATATTCATTCATTACTATTTAAAATATGTATTAAAATATGCTTACAATAATGCGATATATTTTTAAGCGATGAATAGTAAAATTTTAAAAAACAAATTGACAAGCACCTAAAGCTTATCTTACATACACTATTACCCCATTATCTGTCAATTTTTTTCATTTTTATTTGTTTACATTTTCTGACAGTATAGAGATAAGGTCTGGCTATGGTGCCCAGGCTGGTCTTGGTCAAGCAATCCATTCACTCCGGCCTTCTAAACTGCTAGGATTACAGGCGTGAGACACCATGCCCAGACCAAAATGTGTGTTTAAAGATGAAGGTCTGAACTACATAGACAGATGTCAAATGTAATAAAAATGTTAACTCTAAGATCATATGGTTGTAGATGTGTAGTATTATTTCTGAGGTCTCTGCCCTGTTCCATTGGTCTATATGTCTGTGTTGGTATTGGCACAATGCTGTCTTGGTTACTGTAGCCTTGAAGTATAGTTTGAAGTCAGGTAGTGTAATGCCTCCAACTTTGTTCTTTTTGCTTAGGATTGTCTTGGCTATATGGGCTCTTTTTGGTTCCACAAGAAATTTAAAGTAGTTTTTTTCCAGTTCCCTGAAGAAAGCCACTGGTAGTTTGATGGCAATAACATTGAATCTATAAATTACTTTGGACAGTATGGCCATTTTCATGATATTGATTCTTTCTATTCATGAGCATGGAGTGCTTTTCCATTTGTTTGTGTCCTCTTACTTCATTGAGCAGTGATTTGTAGTTCTCCTTGAAGAAGTCCTTCACATGCCTTGTAAGCTGTAGTCTTAGGTATTTTATTCTCTTTGTAGCAATTGTGAACGAGATTTCATTCATGATCTGACTCTCTGCTTGTCTATTGTTGGTGTATAGGGATGCTTGTGATTTTTGCACATTGATTTTGTATCCTGAGACTTTGCTGAAGTTGCTTATCAGCTTAAGAAGTTTTTGGGCTGAGACGATGGGGTTTTCTAAGTATACAATCGTGTCATCTGCAAACAGAGACAATTTGACTTCCTCTTTTCCTATTTGAATATACTTTATTTCTTTTTCTTGCCTGGTCACCCTGCCAGAACTTCCAATACTCTGTTGAATAGAAGCGGTGAGAGAGGCCATCCTTGTCTTGTGTCACTTTTTAAAAGGAATGCTGGCAGCTTTTGCCCATTCAGTATGATATTGGCTATGGGTTTACCATAAATAGCTTTTATTATTTTAAGATATGTTCCATCACTACCTAGTTTATTGAGAGTTTTTATCATGAAGCAATGTTGAATTTTATCAAAGGCCTTTTCTGCATCTATTGAGATAATTATATTTTTTTTGTCATTGGTTCTGTTTAGTGATGGATTACGTTTATTGATTTGATTTGCATATGTTGAACCAGCCTTGCATCCCAGGAATGAAGCCGACTTGATCGTTGCGGATAAGCTTTTCCATGTGCTGCTGGATTCGGTTTGCCAGTACTTTATTGAGGATTTTCGCGTAAATGTTTATCAGGGTTACTGGCCTGAAGTTTTCTTTTTTTTGTTGTGCCTCTGCCAGGTTTTGGCATCAGAATGATTCTGTCCTCATAAAATGAGATAGAGAAGAGTCCCTCCTTTTCAATTGTTTGGAATAGTTTCAGAAAGAATGCTACCAGCTCCTCTTTGTGCCTCTGATAGAATTTGGCTGTAAATTCGTCTGGCCCTGGGCTTTTTTTGGTTGGTGGGCTATTAATTACTCCCTCAATTTCAGAACTTTGTATTGGTCTGTTTAGGGATTCAACTTCTTCCTGGTTTAGTCTTAGAAGAGTGCATGTGTCCAGAAATTCATCCATTATTTCTCTGACAAACCTGACAAAAACAAGCAATGGGGAAGCCTTCTCCTATTCAGTAAATGGTGCTGGGATAACTGACTAGCCATATGCAGAAAACTGAAACTGGACTCCTTCCTTACATCTTATACAAACATTAACTCAAGATAGATTAAAAACTTAAACATAAAATCCCAAGCCATAAAAACTCTAGAAGAAAACCTAGAAAATACCATCCAGGACACAGGCGTGGGCAAAAACTTCGTGAAGAAAACACCAAAAATAACTGCAACAAAAGCCAAAATTGACAAATGGGGTCTAATTAAACTAAAGAGCTTCTACACAGCAAAAGAAACTATCATCAGAGTGAACAGGCAACCTACAGAATGGGAGGAAATTTTTGCATGATTACCATCTCACAAATGTCTGATGTCCATAATTTACAAGGAACTTAAGAAAAAAACAACTCCATCAAAAAGTGGCTGAAAGATATGAATAGACATTTCTCAAAAGAAGACATTTATGCAGCCAACAAACATATCAAAAAAAGCTCAACATCACTCATCATTAGAGAAATTCAAATCAAAACCACAATGAGAGACCATCTTATACCTGTCAGAATGGTGATTATCAAAAAGTCAGGAAACAATAGATGCTGTCAAGACTCTGGAGAAATGGGAACACTTTTACACTGTTGTTGGAGATGTAAATTATTAAACCATTATGGAAGACAATGTGGCAAATCCTCAAGGATCTAGAACCAGTAATATCATTTGACCCAGCAATCCCATTACCAGGTATATACACTCAAAGGAATATAAATCATTCTACTATAAGGACACATGCACACTTATGTTTATTGCAACATTATTTACCATAGCAAAGACGTGGATCCAACCCAAATGTCCATCAATGATAGACTGGATAAAGAATATGTGATACATATACACCATGGGCTACTATGCAGCCATAAAAAATAATGAGACTCTGTCCTTTGCAAGGACCTGGATGAAGCTGGAAGCCATCATCCTCAGCAAACTAACAGGAACAGAAAACCAAACACCGCATCTTCTCACTCATAAGTTGGAGTTGAACAATGAGAACACATGGACACAGGGAAGGGAACAACACACTGGGATTTGTCAGGGGGTGGGGGCCAAGGGGAGGGAGAGCATTAGGACAAATATCTAATGCATATGGGGTCTAAAACCTAGATGATGGGTTGAACGGTGCAGCAAACCACCATGGCACACTTATACCTCTGTAACAAACCTGCACATTCTGCAAATGTATCTCGGAACTTAAAATAAAATAAAAAATAAAAAATCAATCATAAAAATGCCATTACTTCAACTCTTTTTAGAAAAATTCATGCTGAGCTTGATTATAACAAAAATTGTACATTTGCTATTGAATTTCTTTAGAGATATGACTAATATGCTACATGTGTCTTGTATAAGATCTTATGTGATATATATAATATATTTTAGGATATAGAATGAGAAGAAAAACAAACAAACAACAAATGTTAATTGTATTTATTAACTTCACAATGGGCTTCTGCTGAAAGTGAAAAAAAAAAAACTCACTTCATTGGTGCTTACTATTGATACTATTTTCACTCTCCTTTCAACAAAAATCATTTGCAAATTCAAATTCCCATTGTGAAGCAAAGAAAAGGCATACCTAAAATGTCATACTCATGTTTTATATGAGAACAGTGATGTCGCTTTCACAGGGTGATAGTCTTTTTATTTCCGCAAGTAGATATTAATATTCTGAAGTCATATGTAATAAAACTATTTTACCTTAGCAGAAATAGAAAAGTAATCAAACATAAACTATATTTTTAATATGTTGAATAAGAAGTACTTATCTAAAATATTTCATTCCCTTTGATATCAATATTAAAATTTTTAGTTAAAGTACACATCATTAAATAGAAAAAAAAACACCTTTACGTAACATTTCAGTAACAATTGTCACTATTTTAGCTCTGGTTAAATATATTCTGTATCTCTGAAATAAACACAAAGTCGAATCCATGCAAGTCTTCATATTGTGCCGTGAATGTTGAATAACACCACATCATTTGATCCTGCTTTCTTTATTTTGGTTGACATTTTTATTTCCAAAATTTTTTATGCTTGTAGCTGAAGCTGCAGCTGAAGATCCTGCTGTTTCTCTGAGGAAAGACAAAAGGAAGAGAAAATATAAACAGGACACAAGAACATAAAGGTATTAGATCATCAATTGGTTCCATATCTGGGCCCAGAACTTTATTCGCTCTGTCTCAACTATATATTATTGTTAAGTGAACACTGCAATTTTCATATTATTCCTTAGTGTGCATATAGAGTAGATAAAGTAATTATAATATATGTAAAATATAAATGTGTGATTAATATATAACTGCTGCTTGCAGGAAACCATATATTTCAGATTAAGTTTAAACATTTTTTTAACTTCACTCCGTAAATTACATCTAAAATTATTTTGCAATGCGTTTTTAACAAGCGCAATAACAACAATCACAGCCTAGAAGAAGATGACCAAAATTTCTCTAACAGTTGCTATCTCAAATTTAGCCAATGTAATTTATAAAGGTGAATATTGGGATAGTGTTATAAGAAGACATCCCTTTTGTGTATTTATTTTCAATATTTATTTTATTTTTATTAAAACCATTCAAAGTTTTTAAACACATCTGTGATGCTGTAATGTTTAAGGAAAGACAAAATATATAAAGAAAACAAAACCGCTTAAAAGAAAAACAATTGTGGGTAGAAAGACGACCTGAATATGTTACATAAAGTAGTAAACCAAAGAATGATAAAGGCAGAGTGAATTACATGTAGTCACTGATGACTGCAATTTAGAACATAATCTAATGAATATCTCTCCTTTCTCTTCAGTATGTCTCCCCTATAATCTTCCTAGCTTTTGTACTATGTGGAAAAATATGACTAACTACTTGGAAGCAAAATCAAAGTCTGGGAAACCACAGATTGAACTGAATAGAAAGAAAAAGGCTCTATTCTGGGCGGCTCCTAAGTTCTTTTCATGGTACTCAAAGAGTATTTTGCTAAATTCTGTAGAATAAGAAAGTTTAAAGTCATCAAAATCAAATCATTCAAGTCTAGAGCTACATACCTTTAAATAAGCCATTTGTAATGTCTTTTACTTGCAAATTGTAGTCTTCAAAAACTAATAATAATTCTGATACTATTTATTCCATATATAAAGGTTAGTTTTTATTGCAGTAATGTTACTATCAATACAAAGGACCAAGAGAAGTAATAATTTAATAAGTAATAAGTAATAATTTGTTATATATTAATTATTAATTTAATTTACTAAGAATACCAACCACTCCTGTAGAACTTAAAAAACTCTAAGCACTTAAAAAACTCTAAGTTAAATGTTTACTTAATTCCATTTAACTAATGCCCATTTAAAGAATAGAAAACTGACAACAGTGAAGCAAGCTGTGTAATTTACCCAAAGAAACACATCTACTAAAGTAGAATAGATTAACTTAGATTCTATCCTAGACCACCTAGGTAGAGTCTGTTCTCTGAAAAACAGTGGCATGTAAAAGAAATGTGAAGAGAAAAGTGGAAGAGGAGAGAACTGACATGGGATAAAAGAAAAAGTGGGAGATGATTAGATAGATAGATAGATAGATAGATAGATAGATAGATAGATAGATAGATAGATGAGAAGGAGAGTCATAAAATATTTGGCTCTCAGATTTTTCTTTTAAAGAACAGTGATGACTTTGTACCTTCTCCTCTTCAGCCACCTTCCTGCTGCACTGTCTATTCAGAACCTTACACTTGGGAGACAGCTCGAATACAGCATCAAGCACGCAGGGCTCAGCCACTTCAGTCACACACATCACAGGCGGTAAATCAAGTGCACTGATTGTTGATACAAGTAATTTTAACATCTTTATTTTTCCTGTGACAGGTGAGCAGAGAGCACTGGCCTCTTCTTGAATGATACAATTGCATAAAAGAGCCATTAGCTTTGGGTTGTTTTACTATAGAAAACATCCTTTGCTGTGGGTCACAGCTTGTTTTATTTCAAGGAGATTAATCCTTCTGAATGAGAAAGATAAGTTTATGGCATATTATTTCTGAGTGGTTCTCACAGATGTGCAGAATTAACAAATAATGCTGCTTACTAATGCTAGGGAGGACAAGGGGTATTCAGTCCCAGTGTTGCATTTGTCATTCAGGAGATGGCAGAGGCTTCTTCAAGGATCCCATGTACACTTCCTTCCCAATTTCTGTGCATTGAACTATTCATTGAGGAACAGGGATTTACATATCCTTTAACCAGGGAAGAGGAGCAGAACACTGCCAATACATCTATTGTTTAATCTTCCACATATACAGATCTCTATACACTAATTTTTCTCAGTGGCTTCAGACAGAAGATGGGGTTACACCATTGGGTGAGCTGCTGTCCCCAGTACACCTACATATATCTTCCTGGAGCCTAACTTTTAGTATGTGTGACACGTGTATACATAATATTCAGTATGCATCCTAGGGAGCTGAAGATGAGGGGTATATTATGCCAGAACAGGTTTCATTTGTTTTGGCTCCTCCTTTTTTCAAAAGATAAGTTTCCTCCCAGAGGCTTGCAAAAATCTCTATTGGTCCATTCTTGCAATTCAAGAGATATGCTTAATCATAACTTACTTTCTCCAAGAACCAGGCTGGGACTCTGTTACTTATATAGTATATCATTTCTATAGTTAAAAAAAAAATGACAGAAGAAGAGCAGATTGTAAATAGACACTCAGGTAATAGTTTCATGTTCTACCTCTCCAGTCTTCCTAGAAACGGTTTTTCAATAGTCAAACAATGACTTGAGAAATAAAATTTCACTTCTTCCCAAAACCGTTAAGTAGATTTTTTCTCTGTTAAACATATACATTGATCTTTCCTCCTCAATTTAGGATGAATTTATACCCCAGACACAACCCTGCTGCTTCTGCTTATTCACAGTGATTTGAAGTAGCCACCTTTTTTTAAACCTCTATGGTTTCATCAGATAAAAACACTGAATGATGATAATACATTTTTCTATTTTATGGAAAAATAAAATGAATTTTTGCAAATATTTTGGTGTGAAGGAGTTTTTCCAGCTACCACTGGTCTTTCTTATTCCCTTTCTGTAAGAGTGTATCCTCATTTTCCAGATCTCTGATATGAAAGTCCCTCGTGGATCAATCCAACCTCTTTTCCCTATTTATATCAACTTCTTTGGTGTCATTTTCCAGTCTCAGAGCCTTACTTCTCATCTCTAGCTAATGACTGACAGATTAAAATCTTCAATTTAGACCTCTCCCCTGAACTTGTGCATCTAGCTTCTCTGTTGAACTGCTTCTTCCACATCTCACAGCATCTAAAAAATAAAATGTCTGAAAACAAGATCCCAAGCTTCCTTTCCGAATCATCTCGATCTGTTAGTGAACCCTCTGCATGTCCTGGTGATCAGTATTATTATTTCTTGAGTCAGAATCGATCCTCTTCCTCTAGAATATAAGCATCAAGAGGGCATATTTTTTTCTGTTTTATTTACTTATGTGTCCTCAAGATGTAGAATGGTGTACTGCAGGTTCTTAAAAAATGTTGAATTAAAATGAATACTTATTTTGAAGCATGCATCTAATTAGTCAGAAAATAAGGTCAGTTTTATTTATTTATTTCAGATTCCAGAATCTGAGCACTTATTATCTCCATGCAGAACACCCTAGTCCAAGACACCACCATCTTGTGACAAGATTGTTGCCATAGTCTCTTGTCTCTGCCCTTTTTCTCTGGAGTTTATTTTTATTTCAGTAGCTAGAATGGTCCTATTAAAACACACATAGCTAACTGCTCTACACAAATCCCTCTAGCTTCATAATCTACTACTACAAGTAAAACTTAACTACTCAAAACAAGATCTTTTTACCATCCTTCTGGCTGCATCTATTAATTTTGCTTTAATCATTCTTCTCCAGGATCATTCATTTCTCACTGTTCCTCAAACTTAAGTTTCCGTTTCTGCTTCAGGGGCTTTGTACTCCCTATTTCCTCTCTCTGGAATGCTCTCCTCTCATATGTCTGTAGGATTTACCCCCTTATCACCTGTGCATTTACTTAAATATTATGAATGAGGATTTTCTTGACCATGCTACTCTAATGATAACTTCTGCCTCCAATCCCTGATGCAATATTTTACTTTGTCACTTATGTCATCCGAACACACATTCTAATTTGCTTACTTTTTTTAATTGTCTAGCTTCCCCACTAGAATAGTAAGCTCCATGAGAACAGGAAATTGTGCTTTATTTAGAGATAAATTATCTCTAAATATTACCGATAAATCATCAGTGCCAAGAATCATGTCTGATAAATAATGAATTTGTTTAATTATCCCAAACCTCACTTTCTTTCTAAGGTTGTCCTTTTAATTATACCTAAATTATTTCATTAGCCTTCTATTTGGTTTCCCTTTATCTACTTTCATAGTTCTACTATCAATAGCTTACAAATAAAGCCGAGACATATTTTTTAATCATGACTTCCTCCAGTGGCTCTCCATTTCTCGCTATATATTATTTTCTAGTTATTTCCTTCGCTACAACAATTAATATCCAAATTTATGTTGTTTATTAAGTTTTCTTTTTTATTAAAAGCAAAATTCCATGAGAATGGGAATTTTGCTCACTTTAATGTTTGCCATATAGCAATATCTTAGGAAAGTAACTGATGCATAACTGTCCTTCAAAAAGGATTTGTTGAAAAAATAAATGATGATAAATCCTCAGTGACAAATATAACTTAAAGGCTGTAATTATGGCATGTCTGAAATAAAATGTATCTCTATTCCAATAACACATTTTTAAATAGAGAAAATCTTAATAATAATGCAAGTTATATTATAGTCTAAAATACATCAATTTAGAGGTATAGCATAAATTTGGAACACAATTAATGCTTAACTATGATAATTCTATTTTCTTGAACATTGAAATTAAATTCAGAAGTGGAATATTACTATCAAAACTTTCACATCTCTGGTACCTAGCTTTGGAAGTTATTTATATGGGAACCGTAATTTGTATTTTAGACAGAATTCATCATTGTAATTTGTTGAAAGATGAGAGGATGAAAGTTAGATATCTGTAAAATAAAATGAAATGGAAAAAAGTATGCAAAGTGTGAATAGCTTGTAACATATTTTCATTTGTTTCCATTTGCTTGGCCTTTCATCCATTAAATAAATTAGATTGTGATCTCCTATAAACTTGAAATGATGTGAATTTAGTTACAAAGTTTTTAAAGTCAACATAGTTTTACATATTTCTCATAGAGGACTACTTGGATTAAGATGAATTTTTAGTAATAATATTGTTCTAATGTTAGTAGAAATGTAATAATATTTTACTTCATGTCGTGTGTAGTTAACTGGACTTTAAATTTATTCTTTGGACTGCTCTCTTCAAAAACCAAGAAAAGTAATATCAACAACAGAAAAGAAGAGAAAATGTCAGACTCTGTGTCATTGTGGCATTAATAAGAAACAAAGATGAATACATATTTGACATCCCTAAATATCTGGATAACTTGGAACACAAGGTATTACTCTAATAAAACTACAATATCAAGTATTTCAAAATTTTAATTCCCTACTCAGCTGCCTTTTCTGGACTTTCCTTATCTAATTCTTTAAATATTTTACCAAATATCTAAGTATTTTTTAAGAGCTTAAATAAGAACAATTTGTATTTTTCCCACTTCTAAATGTGAGAAAATCTGAAATAATGAAAGAAAATTAAACAATGGCCTCCTCTCATTATTATTATTCTTTAGTTTCCTTATTACATAACTCTCTCTCACTTTTCATAGGAAGGGATAAAGTAATTAGTAAAGTAATTTGTTTATGTTTGAAACAATGTGAATATAAAGTTTTTAAAGTCAATATAGTTCAATATTTTTCCTATAGTGAATTACTTGGATTAAGATAACTTCTTTGAAATAATATTGTTTTCAATTGATAATTTTAAACAATTAAAATACTGTGCAAAACCAAACTAGTATTATATCCTCCGAATTTAGCAACAAATTTATCAAGTTATCAATATCACACTGATTTTCGGATCTTATAGCCTATTGATCCATTACATACAACAGTGTGTATTCTGAGAAACGCATTCAATGGCATCTTCCAAGCTTATCCATCGTTGTTCTATAGCCTTGTTTTTAAGACCAGGTGCAGGCTCTCCAGTTACCCTTTCCACATAAGTTGTATGAGTGGCCTCAGTAGTTCAACTAAAATTAGTTCAGCCTGTTTTGTTATTCCTAGTGACAATCTGAACCTGGAGAATCACAGCAGGATAATAATTCTGCTTTATTGATTTAAATGAATTGACAGCTTCTGCTTCCTGTGTAGCAGGAGAAAATACAGAATATGTCTTAGAGTTTCCCATGTGTGCGATTAACATAAATAGTATTTATCCTCTGTTGGATACAAAATTGATTGAAAACAACATGGTCATCTTGTGTCTGATTCATCGAAAATTATTTTAATTATATTGCTGATACCATGTTTTTTTTCCCGTAGGGCACTCACCCAGATGATCTGGTACTTCCCAACCTAATATTAACTAGGCAATTTATATTTGTCACCTTGAATTTCCCTTAGATAAAAGGATGAGCATAGACTCAATATATAATTATAGAAAAAGACCTCATTTAACTTGGGATTCTACTTCTTTCACATGCTTGTATATTTAAAAAATAAATTGGGTTAAGGGAAAGATGACTGATTAGTTCATAGATCTCCAAAGGCATGTATTCTTTTTCTACATCATATAATTTCTTAAGGATGAATATCTCTTAAGAATCTTTTAAGAATCTTTTAGAAGACCCCAGATATTCTATCTTTTCTTCTCCCTGGAAAGATGTATGTATTTATATTAGAAATTGTAAGAAACCAAGGTTCTTCTTCCTCTTATAGGAGGGGGGATATTCTCAATTCTATATAAGTGGAGGAATTTACATTTCTAGGTACACCTCCCATAGTCAATCCTCCTGTACTTCTAGGTTGTGACATTTGGTTGTCACTGTATTACCTGTGGGGTGTTGTCATGAGAGACTAACTCTGCAAGGTTATTCTAGCTAGTGTCTTAACTCTGTTCTCTCAACCAGTTGGCTTGTGTTTCTGCTTACACACACACACACACACACACACGTGTGTGTGTGTGCCTGGTAAATTTTGAATTTGTATAATTTTCCTAAGTATTTCTTCCTAAAGTCGTCCTGATAATTACATCTAAATTATTTTATTAGCCTTCTAACTGATTCTCCTGTCTCTTCTTTATAGCTGTGTAGCCAATTGCCTACAAATAAACCAGAGTCATATTTTTCAATCATGCCTTCCTTCAGTGGCTCTCCATCCTTCTCTGTCTCTCTCTCTTTCTCTAGTTGTTTCCTTCATTTCACTAATCAACATCCAAATTTATGCTGTTCATTATGTTTTCTTTTTTATTAAAAACAGTATATAAACCAATGTACACACAGATAAACTGCTATATTTTAGGAATTCAATAAATATTACTTCTCAACCCCAACCCATTGTAATGAAGCCTCACTGTTCACATATTGATAAATTATTTTGCCAGTTCAAGTGTATTTCCCAGTGGTTTTCTTTCTGAAAGATCTAAAAGTTTAATAAACACACACACACACACACACACACATTTTGAAATAATATATGCAATCAAAAATTACAAATACATGTAATCACAAATTTTAATATATAATTTAAAAATATATTTATAAATTCTGAAAAGTCTGGAAGTTTATTATATATAAATCTAAAATATATATAGATAGAGATAGAAAGATCAATATGTAGTTTTATATAGGATACATATAGATAGATGATAGATGGATAGATAGATAGATAGATAGATAGATAGAAAATAAACTTGCAGATCCCCTCAGAATTTCTGATTTAGTAAGGTGTAGATCCCTGGGTATAGAGAGTGTGTTGTCTCTCTCTGGATAACAAATTTGACTGATCTCTTGACATCTATATTGAGAAAAACCAGTCCCTAAAACTGAAATTGTCAAAGTATATTAAATGAAACTGACTTTGGGCTCTAGAAGTCTGCATATGAATCCTAAGTAACAAACTGCAACCTAATTCATTATGTAAACAAACTGAAAATCAAACTTAGGTGTCCCAGCCAATTACAGCAGCTGAGCAGTCCACAGACTGTCTCTATATGTCACTTCCATTTTCTGTAAATCATTTCCCTTTCTTTGTCCATAAATTTTGCTTAACCATGTAGCAGCCCTGGAGTCATTCTGAATGGTTCTGGGGGCTGCCCAATTCACAAACTGTTCGTTGCTAAATTAAACTGTATTAAATTTAATTTATCTAATGTTTTGTTTTCTTTTAAGATGAGTACAAGCTGAGAGAACCTTATTCTCCAAGGCAATATCCGTTAAGAGTTGTTCCTCTTGGAACTTGAATCTAAGAAAGAGATCTAAACGTGTGTACCATATTTTCCCCTGCCCTCCATCCATGGTATCACTTTTTGCATTTTCTGTTACTTGTGGTCAAATGTGGTCCAAAAATATTAAATGAAAAAGTACTAACATAAACCATTTATAAATTTTAAGTTGCATGCCTATCTGAGGACTGTGATGAAATCTTGCACCATCCAATCTCCATCCTGCCCAGGACGTCAATCATTTCTTTGTCCAGCATAGTCATACTGCCTGTGCCACCCACCCATCAGTCACATGATAGTCTTCTCATTTATTAAATGGAAAAGCAGTGTATATAGAGTTCGATACTATTCACAGTTTCAGGCATCTACTGAGAGTCTCGGAATGTATGTCCCACAAATAAAGGGAGACGAATCTATTTCTGTTTTTATCTCATGATACTGTTTATTGTGCTGCCTTCCTTAGCTTTAGTTTCCTCATCTCTAGGAATAAGTATGTATCAGGAGCACATAATAATTTTCCTATCTAATGCAGAAGTCCGTTATTAAAATTGTGACAATCTGATAGGAACATATTAAGCTTTTGGATGTGCTATATCAATGAGGTTTTTGAGCTATTTCTATTTTTCCTTGTACATGTTTAGTGCTCTGCTTCAAAATGCTTTGAAAAGTAAATACATAATTTAGGAAATGTTGCATATTTTACACATACTTGAAGAATTACAATATTGTATAATGCAGAGAGTTTTACAGAGTTTAATACTATCTTTTTTTTTTCTATTCAGAGTTCCACCAATCATCTATTTGACCAGAGAAAGTTGTTTTTACTTAACAGCTTTACACAAAATTTGTCATATATTGTAAGGAACAACAGCAAACTGGCCAGAGCTCTCAGTAAGCATTCTATTGACTCCTATAAAAATAATGAATGTTGCTACTTTCTAATTCTTCTATTAACTCAAAAAAAATCTCCTTTTTGTGGAACTATGTCCATCTTCATGGTTTTTTTTTCTTTCTTTTTTTTGGCGGTGGGGGTGGAACTCTTTTATTTAATTGCCATGCTCTGTCTTCACTAACAACTTGGTTAAAGGAGGAGAAATTAATGCTGTGAGATTTCAAAGGTCTGAGGAAGACCTAGTGGTGATAAAGTATCTTTAGTAGTGCCAGCAGATTTTCCATTATTTATTATGTACCTCCTATGTTTTTGAAAGTTAAGATTTCACTTAAAGGAAACCAAAGAATGTTGTCTTTGGCCATTCCCAATTCTGTTGTAATTTCTGGAGTTTCATAATAAAAGGAAAATAAAAATGTAATTTCAGTGCCACTTTTATTTCTCTTCTCTGTGCCTCATTATTTGGCATCAGGAGATGCGCACTGATGCCAAGCTGTTAAATTTTAGATATTGCCAGTTCTGTTGGACTGGTGCTCTATGTCCTTAGACTGAGGCTATTACAGCTCTTGACTACTTTTTCTATCTCTTCTTTTCTGTGCTTAGCTCCCTCGGGGCTGTTCAATCAAGACTCAATAAAAATTGTTGAACTGTTCAGATTTTTATTGAGAGCCTTGATGCTATAGCCCCACAGGAGCCCACTGAAGAAGGGATTATCCTTGTTATCATAAAGAGGCAAAGAGAATGCCAAGGACAAGAAAAGGCATAAAGCCAAAGGCTGCAATGCTATATAATTGATCAACTCAGCCACCTTTACAAAGAAGGAAGCTGAACAAGATACTAACGTCAGAAGAAAGCTGAGAATCTTATATAAAGAATTAAAGTGTATATTAAGAAGAGTTTTCATTTATAACTCATATTTATTAATTTATACTTACATAGATTAAGTAGTATCTCTTAAGTAGAATGGTTTTCTTCAACTAAAGAGTGCAGTGTATTTTGATAGACATGAATTCATTTAAGCAGTATTTTATGCATATGAGCCCCTTTATTAAGACAGGTCACGCTTTGATACTTTTTCATTATACATACATTCAACTCCAACTTCTTAGCAATAGTCTCAAAAACTTTTGTTTTGCGAACTGACTATATGAAAAGATTAGGTAGCTCTTCTTGCCTAATATACAAAACATCAATAATGTCTGGAACAACATTTTAGATAAAGAGTTAAATTTTATTTTCACAGATTGTGTAGGAAAAATGTAAAATACAATGTATGTCAGCTGAAATGACTTCATGTGAGGGATAAAGAGTCATAATTTGGAGAACCAAATTAGGAGAACCAAAAATGTCTAAAAATGAACCAAAAAATCATATTAGCTTCTCCTTCACCTATTCACTCAACTTGATCAGGCACTCTACTTTGGACTAGGGATGTAGACATGCATACAACTCAAACTCTGGCCTTGAGGATTATATTTAAATCAATTGAATGTACTACATAAGGAATGTATAGACAGATTCAGGAAAATGAATAATAATGTTTGTGCTAATAGAGACTGAAATGTGATGAAATAATGTGATCATTTGGTTTTCAATAAGAATGATTTATTGAGGAATTATAACAGTAAATAATAAAATGTTAGTTCTCAGATTGTTCTACATCCTTTTGGTCTGTGCTAGGTTCTGTTGAAAATGAAGATTAACGAGGCATTTCACAGAATGAATGTGTTTGTGTTTTATAAATTTTACATAGAACTTGATAGATAAACTTCTCTTGACTAAAATACAAAATGTCAACAACATCTGGAACAACATTTTAGATTACACAGTTATTACATTTAATTTTTATATTATTATCAATCCACTTATATAAAAATAAAATGATGCTTTTGATTCCCCAAGAATAGAAGATTCATTGCCAATTTTCATATATTCCTTGCTCAATTATTCTTACAATAGCATGCTAGAACAGAAGGGAATAAACTGAATGATTATCATTACCAACATATCTAGCCTGAAGTTTTTCAACTCTGTTTGTGTCCATGTTTCTCTCCTAGCTGCTTGAAAAAAAAGGCAATGCTCATGCATCACCCTTGCCAATTATATCATACTCTTGGGTGCTGTGTGGGCATGTGAATATTTATAAACCTGACCAGGTAAGTCTAACATGGAGTCAAGTTTGAGATGCACAATTTTAACGCTAATTTAAAAAGAAAATCTAGCTCCAAGATTATCTTTAATTATTTAGTTTTCTTGGGCTCTATTTCATTAATTAGCAGTCACAAATAACTTTAGACACTGTGGAAATTATATTTTAGAATATTATAGGTGGTGTGTCACAAAAATGAGTGAGACTTTACATATTAATAAAAATAATAAATAAAACATTTAATAAAATTTAAATTCAAAAAGAATAAAATGGAAACATACTTCTACTAAAAATATGAATTAAATTTTTGTGTGAACAGTCTTCGAAAACTTTTACTTTTGTGATGCTAGAATGTTTTTATGTAAACTTCATATAGTATTCCATAAAACAGAAGGGAGGTAAATTTTGTTACTGTAGGAAGATGTAGGAGAAAGAAAAATACAGAAATATACGTGAATGGACAAAATAACTTATTTTTATTAAGATGTGAACACTGAAACTTCATTATAATGAATTGGGGTTGAGGAGTAATATTTATTAAATTTCTAAAATATTAAATGTCATATTACTAAAAATATAACATAAATTATCTTATTTGATTATCAAAGTAATACTGTGAGGTGGAATATATAGATAAATCAAATAAAGCTTACATAAATTGTTTTGAGATAAAATAGTTCTCAGACAACAGAGTCAGAATTTGTATTCAATTTTATTTGACAAGTCCTTTTTATCTTTTTTCTTGAATTTTATGATTTATTTTAAATAATTTCAATTTTACAGTAAAACAGCAAGTAAGAGACTTTTTGTTTTTCCTAGGACTTTTGAGAGTAAATTGCTAAATGAATGTCCCTGTCATCCTAAAATCTCTAGTGAATATTTCCTACAGAAAAAAAATATTATATTTTGTAATCAAAGTATCAACACAAAAATCAAGAAATTAACATTGATATGTTATCTTCTAATTCCAAATCACTATTTATGATTCCCTAATTATTATAATAATGTCCTTCATAGGAAAATGATTCAATCTAGAATAACATGTTACATTTATTATTAGTCTCTCTACTTTCCCTCATTCTGTAATAACTCCACAGTCTTGCATTGACATTCATGACCTTGAAACTTTTGAAGTTATCAGCAGTTATTTTAAAGAATGGGCCTCAATTTGGGTTTGTTTGATGTTTCCTCATGATTCAATTCCGGTAATGCAATTTTGGCAGAATATCATCGGAGTTATGATGCATTGTTCTCACTGAATCCATTAGATGGTGCACATTTTAATTCCCCCCATTACTGGTGATTTTAACATTGATTACTTGACTAAGGAGATATCTGATGACTCTACACTAGTACCACAGAGTGTAATGACTCTGTAGACTATTTTTCCTTTTGTAAACTAAGCATTTTGTGGAAAAACTATATAAATATTTCATTTAATCAAATGTATTCACCAACTTTAGCACCGTTTCCTCTTTTCTTCTTGGTTGAATTACTTATTAATGTAATAGTTTTGCTCTATGTGATACTGTTTAGTAAGATATATTGAATGAGTGAATAGGTGTATGTAAAAAAATAATATTTATTTTTCTGAGTTAAATATTCTCATCAAGAAAGTATTTTGCTCTCTTCTCTCAGGCTTGGACTTAACCTGTTACTGTCCTGCTTGAATACCTTTTAATGTATTTAATCTTTTCTGCTGCTTTGTTTATTCTAAGTTACTGTGATCTGAATCAGAAAATCATATAAACGAGGGTTAAAGACAGTTCGGTAATCCCTGTGGACAATCATGAAAACTAACTAAGCTTCCAAATATATTTTGGCTGAGTGAACTAATTAGAATGGAGTTTTCTATCTCATAGAGATGGTTCAAAAAAAGTAAGAGAGCATTCAAGGTATTTCTGAGTGTTTCCTGCATCAAAGAACACACAAATCTAAGGAATGTTAGCTTCCTCTCCTTTCCTCAGGCCAGTTTTTTTTTTTTTTTTTTTTTTGAGGGGGAGTGTCGCTCTGTCCCCCAGGCTGAAGTACAATGGCAGAATCTCGGCTCACTGCAATGTCTGCCTCCCAGGTTCTAGCAATTCTCCTGCCTCAACCTCCAGAATAGCTGGGATTACAGGCGCCCGCCACCACATCCAGCAATTTTTTTTCTTTTCTTTTTTTTTTTTCTTTTTTAGTAGAAACAAGGTTTCACCATGTTGGTCAGGCTGGTCTCGAACTCCTCACCTCAGGTGATCCACCTGCCTTGGAGTCCCAAAGTGCTGAGATTACAAGTGTGAGCCACCGCGCTCCTCAGGCCAGTTTTTAAAAAGCAGGTTAAGGAAGACAGTCATATTTTTGTTGTCTTTATATTGCTTCCTATTGTGATCACTGTCCCCTAATACACACCTCCTCTCTTAGACACTGGATGTTGATTTTTAAAATCTTCTTTATAGGGATTAGGACAGAAACTAGTCATCTTTTAAAACAATAGAGGTAAATGTAAGATTATTGTATTCATTAATACAAGCACACAGAGACTCTTTGAAGCTGAATGTCTAAGGGAAGAACAGCAAAGATAAAGGGATCTTACAAGAGTAGATCACATGGTGTGGTGTATTTGTGTTATTCTTATTAGGTTGGGGAAACAGAAAGGGTTGAAACATTTAAACTCTGATCCAAAGCATTTATTAGCACTTGAATTAAAGAGGTATTCAGATGGAAAGAACAGATCTTATGCTTAGTAAGTATGCACAATTAGGAAAGTTTATGACATAGTCAGGAATTAAAAAAAAAAAAGTTTAGTAAATTTGGAGTGTGCAGTGGGAAGAATGAGATGTTCCTGGAGAGAAAAACAGAACCTGAATTATGAAGGACTTTTCTAGTCATCTCAAAGAAGCTGGGTTTAAAGCCAAGAGTTTTTAAGTGGAGATAAACATGATCAGACACAAGCTTTCAGAAGAGTGCATTGCAATGAGGGTTAGGACTGGGAAGATGATGTGTCAATGCAAAAATCTTAAGGCCAGTTGCAAAGCTGTGGATTATTCAGAATAGGAATTTTCATCTTAATGTGAACATCTGTGGTGGATTTGGATGAATAGAGTGAAGGGATTCTAAAGATATTTTGAAATGAATGTTTATAGAACATAGTAACTGGATAGGGCTGAGGTAGAGGTGAGGGCCACAAATGAGAGTAAGGCGTGCAGTAATGCCTTGTTCCCTACCTCAGCTATTGAGTGAATGATAGTGCCTTTCATTAATAGAAGAGACAAAAGAGAGAGGGTAGATATGTAGGAAATGGGAGAGATTTTAGCTTTGAACAGGCTCAGCTGTAGGTATCTGTGAGACATTTCAATGGAAAACTCTAATAGGCATTTAAACTTAAAGAGCTGCAGCTTACAGGAGAGATTTACGCTGGGGATACAGATATGAATGCCATAAACAAGACAAGGACAATGAAATCTCCTAGGGAGAGCAAGTGCAGAGACAGGAAAATAACTGGGATAAATCTCAACATTTAAGATGAGTCAGAGGGACTGATGTCACAAAAGCACCTAAAAGGGAGCAGCAAGTGAGACGGAATAGCACGAGGAGGGAGTAGTGTCACGTTATTGAGTGCAAGGCACTTAGCTGAACATTTCAAAGTTACCTCCGATGTTTGAAACCCCAAAGCAAAACAATGTGGTTTGTGCCACAGGGAAGCAATTCTGTCTAGATGCAATTTTTAATGTAAACAGCTGTGGGAGGCTAAAAATAAAAAAAACAAGAGTATACTTAGCTTTTTCACTCAAGATAAATAGCACTGAGGATGTGGTAAACAGAGCAAAGTGTTTTCAAGATATTTTAAAACAGTAAACCGAACCCTAAAATCTAACATTTTTTTTTAAATTTCCAGAAATTATCCTATTTTATATTTTATTCTATAGAGCATAATTTACTAATATGTTTTCATTTTAATAGTATACTTTGAGTAGAAAAAATGGAAACTTATTGGGAATGTTTCTGTATAATGCCTATACTAGGATTTGTTACTCAGATCTCAGCTACCTAATCAGGAGATAAGACAAAATGGAATAGACTATTTCAAATTTCTGCCCCAAATCCTTGCAGAATAATTCTCTCGTTCTTCAGAAAAACAAGCAAATTGAGTCATCTTCATCTGCGGTTCTTTCAACTTTTTGTTTCCAGCACTGGCATTATAATCTTAGTGTCTGTGGATTGTATTGCATGATACAATAACAGCTGCCATGTATTTCTGATACAGCATAATTGTCAAATACTCAATCTCCTTTTTTTCACACACACCCAAAGAAACGGCCTCAACTTTTAAAGATGGTGTATTTCAGCAACAAGAGTTTGTATTTTACTGTGTAAGCAATGATCTTACTATGAAATGATATAATTACTGACTTAATAATGTATGCATTTTATTATAGATATGCCAAAAATATAGGTTTATAAAGTGACTTAATAAATATTGATGTATAACAGCAGATACTAGTACCCAATTCCCATTTTCCTCTTCCCAAACACAATGTTATATAGGCAACAATCTATAGCTAAAAAATTTCATACCGCGTCTTCTATATAAGCAGACAAGAACGTGTGAGTGGGCACTAGTCAATGAGAAGTGACATGAAGTTCTTGGGTGGAATTTCTGGATAAGCTTCGTTAAAGAGAATGAGACAGCAGATTTATATATCTTTGCTCCTCCACTCTTTCTTTTACCTAAAGCATAAAGTATAGTTACAATAGCTAGAGCTCCAGAATCCATCTTAAAAGCATTTGAAGAATGGTGTAGAAGAGAGCTGAAATGATTCTGTTTCCCTGACAACACTGCAGGGCTGTCACTCTAGCTTCTATCTCCTACACCAAATTTTTACTTATAGGAAGGAAAAGTACCCTTCTATTTTGGCTTGAGACACTGTTTGGGGCTTTGTGAAAGGCTGGAAATCACTTCTGAAGATAGTCAAGACCTAATCCCTGGCATCTGTGAATATTTCTTGTATAGAAAAGATGACTTTTTGTATCTGACTAGATTAAGGATCTTAGGATAGATCATTGTATATTATCTGTGTGGACCCAATTTCATTAGAAAAATTCTTCTTTTTTCTACAATATTAAGATTTATTTTTCATTTATTTATTTATTTATTTTATTATTATTATACTTTAAGTTTTAGGGTACATGTGCACAATGTGCAGGTCAGTTACATATGTATACATGTGCCATGCTGGTGTGCTGCACCCATTAACTCGTCATTTAGCATTAGGTATATCTCCAAAAGCTATCCCTCCCCCCTCCCCACACCCCACAACAGTCCCCAGAGTGTGATGTTCCCCTTCCTGTGTCCATGTGTTCTCATTGTTCAATTCCCACCTATGAGTGAGAATATATGCTGTTTGGTTTTTTGTTCTTGTGATAGTTTACTGAGAATGATGATTTCCAATTTCATCCATGTCCCTACAAAGGACATGAACTCATTATTTTTTATGGCTGCATAGTATTCCATGGTGTATAGGTGCCACATTTTCTTAATCCAGTCTATCATTGTTGGACATTTGGGTTGGTTCCAAGTTTTTGCTATTGTGAATAGTGCCGCAATAAACGTACGTGTGCATGTGTCTTTATAGCAGCATGATTTATAGTCCTTTGGGTATATACCCAGTAATGGGATGGCTGGGTCAAATGGTATTTCTAGTTCTAGATCCCTGAGGAATCACCACACTGACTTCCACAAGGGTTGAACTAGTTTACAGTCCCACCAACAGTGTAGAAGTGTTCCTATTTCTCCACATCCTCTCCAGCACCTGTTGTTTCCTGACTTTTTAATGATTGCCATTCTAACTGGTGTGAGATGGTATCTCATTGTAGTTTTGATTTGCATTTCTCTGATGGCCAGTGATGGTGAGCATTTTTTCATGTGTTTTTTAGCTGCATAAATGTCTTCCTTTGAGAAGTTCATGTCCTTTGCCCACTTTTTGATGGGGTTGTTTGTTTTTTCTCTTGTAAATTTGTTTGAGTTCATTGTAGATTCTGGATATTAGCCCTTTGTCAGATGAGTAGGTTGCAAAAATTTTCTCCCATTTTGTAGGTTGCCTGTTCACTCTGATGGTAGTTTCTTTTGCTGTGCAGAAGCTCTTTAGTTTAATTAGATGCCATTTGTCAATTTGGCTTTTGTTGCCATTGCTTTTGGTGTTTTAGACATGAAGTCCTTGCCCATGCCTATGTCCTGAATGGTAATGCCTAGGTTTTCTTCTGGGGTTTTTATAGTTTGAGGTCTAATGTTTAAGTCTTTAATCCATCTTGAATTAATTTTTGTATAAGGTGTAAGGAAGGGATCCAGTTTCAGCTTTCTACATATGGCTGGCCAGTTTTCCCAGCACCATTTATTAAATATGGAATCCATTCCCCATTGCTTGCTTTTCTCAGGTTTGTCAAAGATCAGATAGTTGTAGATATGCGGCATTATTTCTGAGGGCTCTGTTCTGTTCCATTGATCTATATCTCTGTTTTGGTACCAGTAACATGTTGTTTTGGTTACTGTAGCCTTGTAGTATAGTTTGAAATCAGGTAGCGTGATGCCTCCAGCTTTGTTCTTTTGGCTTAGGATTGACTTGGTGATGCAGGCTCTTTTTTGGTTCCATATGAACAAAAAAAGGCAGGGGTTGCAATCCTAGTCTCTGATAAAACAGACTTTAAACCAACAAAGATCAAGAAAGACAAAGAAGGCCATTACGTAATGGTAAAGGGATCAATTCAACAAGAAGAGCTAACTATCCTTAATATATATGCACCCAATACAGGAGCATCCAGATTCATAAAGCAAGTCCTGAGTGACCTACAAAGAGACTTAGACTCCCACACAGTAATAGTGGGAGACTTTAACACACCACTGTCAACATTAGACAGATCAACGAGACATAAAGTTAACAAGGATACCCAGGAATTGAACTCAGCTCTGCACTAAGCAGACCTAATAGACATCTACAGAACTCTCCACCTCAAATCAACAGAATATACATTTTTTTTTCAGCACCACACCACACCTATTCCAAAATTGACCACATAGTTGGAAGTAAAGCTCTCCTCAGCAAATGTAAAAGAACAGAAATTATAACAAACTGTCTCTCAGACCACAGTGCAATCAAACTAGAATTCAGGAATAAGAAACTCATTCAAAACCACTCAACTGCATGGAAACTGAACAACCTGCTCCTGAATGACTACTGGGTACATAACGAAATGAAGGCAGAAACAAAGATGTTCTTTGAAACCAACGAGAACAAAGACACAACATACCAGAATCTCTGGGACACATTTAAAGCAGTGTGTGAGGGAAATTCATAGCACTAAATGAGAAAGCAGGAAAGATCCAAAATTGACACCCTAACATCACAATTAAAAGAACTAGGAAAGCAGGAGCAAACACATTCAAAAGCTAGCAGAAGGCAAGAAATAACTAAAATCAGAGCAGAACTGAAGGAAATAGAAACACAAAAAACCCTTCAAAAAATTAATGAATCCAGGAGCTGGTTTTTTGAAAGGATCAACAAAATTGATACACCGCTAGCAAGACTAATAAAAAAGAAAAGAGAGAAGAATCAAATAGCCGCAATAAAAAATGATAAAGGGGATATCACTACCAATCCCACAGAAATACAAACTACCATCAGAGAATACTACAAACACCTCTATGCAAATAAACTAGAAAATCTAGAAGAAATGGATAAATACCTTGACACATACACCCTCCCAAGACTAAACCAGGAAGAAGTTGAATCTCTGAATAGACCAATAACAGGATCTGAAATTGTGGCAATAATCAATAGCTTACCAACCAAAAGGAGTCCAGGACCAGATGGATTCACAGCGGAATTCTACCAGAGGTACAAGGAGGAACTGGTACCATTCCTTCTGAAACTATTCCAATCAATAGAAAAAGAGGGAATCCTCCCTAACTCATTTTATGAGGCCAGCATCATCCTGATACCAAAGCCTGGCAGAGACACAACCAAAAAAGAGAATTTTAGATCAATCTCCTTGATGAACATTGATGCAAAAATCCTCAATAAAATACTGGCAAACCGAATCCAGCAGCACATCAAAAAGCTTATCCACCGTGATCAAGTGGGCTTCATCCCTGGGATGCAAGGCTGGTTCAATATATGCAAATCAATAAATGTAATCCAGCATATAAACAGAACCAAAGACAAAAACCACATGATTTTCTCAATAGATGCAGAAAAGGCCTTTGACAAACTTCAACAATGCTTCGTGCTAAAAACTCTCAATAAATTAGGTATTGATGGGACGTATCTCAAAATAATAAGAGCTATCTATGACAAATCCACAGCCAATATCATACTGAATGGGCAAAAACTGGAAGCATTCCCTTTGAAAACTGGCACAAGACAGGGATGCCCTCCTTCACCACTCCTATTTAACATAGTGTTGGAAGTTCTGGCCAGGGCAATTAGGCAGGAGAAGGAAATAAAGGGTATTCAATTAGGAAAAGAGGAAGTCAAATTGTCCCTGTTTGCAGATGACATGATTGTATATCTAGAAAACCCCATCATCTCAGCCCAAAATCTCCTTAAGCTGATAAGCAACTTCAGCAAAGTCTCAGGATACAAAATCAATGTGCAAAAATCGCAAGCATTCTTATACACCAATAACAGACAAACAGAGAGCCAAATCATAAATGGACTCCCATTCACAATTGCTTCAAAGAGAATAAAATACCTAGGAATCCAACTTACAAGGGACTTGAAGGACCTCTTCAAGGAGAACTACAAACCACTGCTCAATGAAATAAAAGAGGATACAAACAAATGGAAGAACATTCCATGCTCATGGGTTGGAAAAATCAATATCGTGAAAATGGCCATAGTGCCCAAGGTAATTTGTAGATTCAATGCCATTCCCATCAAGCTACCAATGACTTTCTTCACAGAATTAGAAAAATTCTTAAAAGATGGAGGCAAAGGAAGATTTAATTACATAGATAGATGCTATGCTAGAGCTGCTGTTTTTGAATATGGGAGAATAAGCCATGAGCCAAAGAATGTAGCTCTAAAAGCAAGAAGAAAAAGCAGGAAAATAGATCATCTCCTTGATCCTCCAGGAGCAGTGCAGGTCTACTAACTCTTTGACTTTAGCCCGGGGAAATTGATTTTGGCCTTTCGGTCACCAGAACTTCAAGAAAGTAAATTTGTGCTGTTTGAAGCTTTACATTTTTGAAAATTTGTTATAGTAGCAATAAGAAACTTAGACAGGGTCTTTGGTACCTGTAGGTAGACATAATTCTCATGCAATGCAAGATATAATTTCATAGTTAATTAAGTTTGATTTTCAAATCCCTTGAAGAAGAGCATTTTATTAATATATGTGGCAGGTACTAATAAACAGTAGCTAGTTCATAGTATACATTCAATAAACATTTGAAAAACTAAAATAAATTTCAGCTCCTCTGTCATTGTATGAACTAAGGAAGAAAGTATTTGAAAAGACAATAACTAGTTACTTCCTTCTTTTTAATTTGAACCTGACATCAGATCATATTGTTCTGCTGATTTGTAGCTCTATAGGTATAAGGAGCTAATCATTCAGATATAATTAACGTTATACAAGAAAATTAAATTGCTTTGAGGAATGTATATGATCAAATCAAAATGTTCAAATTTTTCACTTAATTGCTTGGTTATTGAGTCTTAAATATCATATCATTCAATGAGTTCCAAAAAAGCATATCTGTGTCATTGAACTAGGTTTGCCTTAGTTTAAAACATATTTCTATAAATGTGGTAAGGTGATATAAACTTAATTCTTTTTCTAAGATAAATTAATTGCTTTCTGACACTGTGTCTGCATAGAAGTGCATACAATACACCCAAATACTATGTTTCTCACTAAAAACAAAACAGATAACTAAGCATTTCATGTTTAACAGCTCTTTCACTCAGATAAATTTCTATGTATGTTTAAACTATATTTCTATGTAGTTGTTTTTGAGTGATTTCCTATATTTTAAACTCAATTGCAGAGGGTTGTAAATCACAAGAAATTCATTCCATTATTAAAATGGAAATGTGGGGCTTTCTTCCTGTGGATTTCGACCAGTAGATATGGGTAAAATAGAGAAATCTTTATATGAACAATTTCTCCACATTATTCCTACACAGACGGTCATTTAGCCTCCATGCATTTAAAAACAGTTTTGCAAAAACTTTTTGCATGACAATTAAGGGATAGCTTGAGTTACTCATCTTTCTCCAGTAACATTTTGTTTTAGTGCAAATATTTTTATGAACTTTATAATAAATAGTGTTATAATTGGAAGATTTTCATTCTCTAAACAACTGAATCTATATTCATAGCTTCCTATGTAGACAACTTTATTCGAGGGAGAATTCCCAGGGTGAAACATTAGGGAAGATCGGTCATCTTTGCAGAACCTCATAAAACAAGGGGCACTGAAAGTTTTAGTAAATGGATTATGCTACATAAAACACTCTGAAAGTACCTTCATGCATTAAAACACCATGGAGTGAATTTTACAGTCTTCTAGTACTAAAAGATGGCTAATATTATACTGTAATCTGCATGATAAATTTTCAGAGACTTGCTGGGAAAACAAAGTGCCTAGGGGGCTACAATAAAAAATAGTACAATTTAACATCTTCTTTCATGTATAATATTTAATTATTACACAAACTTCTTAAAGTACTTGAGATTGATTTAAATACAGTTGGTTCAAAAAAAATGAACTACGTATGTAAGAATTAAGGTTTGGGTTCCTATACATATGGTTCATTATTTTTAAAGTTAAAATAATGCATTCAGAATTTAAGTTGGTAATGAATAGAAACCTGGTAAACAGTAGGAGCCAATATATTGTGTCCTTACTATTTGTCAAGCACTGTGCTATGCAGCCCAATGTATTTAAGCCACATAACAGTTCAGGCTGAAAACTTTTATGAGTTGATGTTGCATTCTTGAGTCTAAAAGCAATTTAAAGGCAAAATTTATTCTTCTTCGGGGACCTCAGTCTTTTAACTTAAAGCTCACAACTGATGGAATGAGGCCCACCCACATTACTAAGTATATTCTGATTTCCTAAACATCTACTGATTTAGGCATTAAATACATCTGAAAAATAGCCTGATAGCAACATCTAGACTACTGCTTGACCAAATCTCTGGACACCAAAGCCTGGCCAAGTTGAAACATAAAGCTAACCATTACACGTAGATATTATTATTTCATTTTATAAAGGAGTAAACTGAGGCATATAGACATTAAAAGTTTTCCAAGATTACAAAATGAGTAAAAATGAGATCCAGTACTTAAAGCCAGGCTGTGGAATACCAGAAGATGCACCACCCTGATACCCTTCAAGGAAAGACTTTCTACCCAGCTGTGAGGTGTAGGGGCTGGTATGGAGTAGGTTGTGGCATTTGGCAAGTTCCAGTTTCTTTTGAGTCCACCTCCGCTACAGAAAACTCTCTCATCTTTCCATGGATAACTTGCATCTGGAGAGTAAGGCATGGCTACGAGAGCCAGGAACTCATGGTCCTTAGGCCCTATGTGGGACATTCTGAAAGGCAGTCATCTCTCTAGTATTTCCTACCTGCTTGCCAAGTCTTTTTCAGGACTGCATTAAAATTTGACCTTTTTCTCTGTCCAAACCTGTTTTCTCCCTCTTTCCTTCACAGGTGCTGATACTTTTGTACTAAGACTTTTATCTTAGCATCTTTTCCCAGAATATACACATGCCTTCTTATCCTGAGCACAAATTCATAAACCTCTATTGAGTTACCTTATGAAGCATATAGTTACAGTCAATTTTCTATGACTATAAAACTCATAGGTATGTATATACGAATCAAATCTTACATCTTAGACTCTGAAAAAATGGATTATATCTGCATAAAATGAAAAATACATTTGTCAAGATACATTATAATTCTACCCCCTTGACCATCCTACTTTCATGCCATCTACAATGTTAACAAACATGGCACCTGTATCAGTGAGAATAAAGGGAAATTCAGAGAAACAGAGTTCATGGCAGGTAGTTCAGTGGAGTAAAGTTAACATGAAAAAATAGTTAACAAAGGTATGAAAGAGATAAAAGCCAAAGAAGGGGCAGTAGGAAGACTCAGAGATTAGCAATCTTAGAAAACACCATCAAGCACAAGGTGCTGAACTTGAGTGCTGATGGGAGGCTGTATGAGGGAGCTGGAAACACCATGGGGGCTTCCCAGCAAGAGTCAGGAACACAGAAAATGGCACTTTTGAGAAGAAACTGAAATAGAGAGAAAAAGCCATCTAACACACAGAGTGATAGGAACACATTTCCTAGCTTCTTCCTTTTTCCCTTCCTCCATTCCTCACTCTTGCACTTTTCTACCAATATCCTCTAATTGTGAGGGAGTCTATAGTTGGACAGGCCAGTCCTCTGAGAGGCTGAACAGAACAGGAGGTAGAGGAAGGGTAATAGCCTTAGGACAAACAAACTAATGACAGGCACACCATCAAGATGTTTGGTAAAATCAGTGACAAAGATTTTAACTAAAAAGAGACAAAGACCAAGTTGTAGGTATGCTGCTATTCCCATCACTATTATCAACTTTGTGTTTGCATGATTAACCAATTAATTCCAACCCTTTCTTTATAACATATAAAAATGTTTATCTGGCTCACAGGATCTCATGTCATAAATTGTCACGTTCCAATAGAAATCAAGACATATTATCTGTAGCCATTCGTTGATCAAGTAGACCAGTAACCCCTGTCAAAGAAATCAAGCTTCACTTGTCTTTCTGCTCAAATCTGCAAGACTCACATTTATTTTGCTAGCACACTAAATACGTAGACGAAATGTTCCTAAAATTTTATCAGAATAGCAAAATAATCTAGACAACTTAGATAATCATAGTACAGGTAAATACACAGCTCTTCAAATTCATTCACCTCTTAGGCAGAAAAAATATATATCTTTCTCCAAAACAAACATTCTCTAGGTTATTTGAACATTGTGCTGTTTTACATGCTTTGAAGTTAAAAGGTGTTTACAGGGAGATTGGAAAAAGAACAAGGAACTGAGTAGCTCAGGGAACATTTTGTTACCACTTATGAATATCTTAGGGAACTTTTTGCTCTTTCTTGCTAATCATAACAAGAGAAAGTATGAATAAATTAATTTAAATTTCAATAAGATCTTACCCCACCCTTCTGCTTTGTTTTTAAGAGCCTGAGGTCATAGATACTCTGATCTCCAGACATCTTTTTCTTACATAAGTAAAAAACTAATTATTAACTTTGCACAATAAAAATGAAAAGTAATTGACATGTGTGTTTTTCTTCCTACACGTGGGTTTAGTGATTTAGTGATATTATGTCTTACAGCATTTGTGCTTTTGAAATAGAATTTATTGAGCTTTATTTACAAAATATTAAATGTATTCATTAGAGGTATACATTTTGGTGAGTTTTGATAAATTAATATGCCCATGCAAGTCCTTTACAATTGATCTATATAATATTTGTATCCTCCCAGTAAAAGCCTCCTTACTTCCTTTCCCAGACTTATCCCTAGCCCCAGGCAACTACTGAACTACTTTCTTTCACTATACATGTGACTTATCTTTTCAAACTTTTATATAAATGGAATAATATAGTAAGTATTATTTCCTGTCTGACATCTTTTAATGGATATAAGGTGACCGTCACTTATGTCTTTTCATATATCAGCTTTCATTTTATTTGTGAGCATTTTTCTATTGTTTAGATATACCACAATTTGTTTATTCTTTCACCTGCTGATGGGTTGTTGCAAGTTTCTGGCATAAAACAGTAAAACTAAAAAATGGCACAACTATCATGAAAAACAACTTGGTAGTTTCTTAGAAAGGTAAAAGTCAACTTACTGTTGATGGAGTTGACCTTGATGTTCTCAACAACTTGACTAGACATCAGACAAGTTTCTTCCTCATATAGGCACCTAACCTTACTTTTCTTAGAACATTTACTCTGGAAGACTTTCAGTTATAAAGTCTTTTTCTGCTGCTTTGAAATATAAATACTTTCAGCCTCCTGCCAGTTTTAGGACCTAGGAAATGTCATTCTCAATGACCTGAAAGCCATTCATTTGAAATGTAGTCATCAAGAAAGTGAGTGCCCCTATCCTATCTTCCATGGTCTCTGTGGGAAAGTAGAAGCTAAGCACCAATTAGCCAACACATATGTTCTGAACACTTTGACCAGCCTTCCTCTGACATCCTTTAGTACTTTTCTACTAGCTTACAATTTGATTCAGTGGAGTTGAGTTCAATCTCTCTTTCCTATTGCAAGAATATTGAATAAAATCTTCATTTTCATTACTCTGTCCAGCGCAATTTTTCTTTGACACCCCAAGACCCAGAGATTCTGTTTATAGCTACTTATAGAAAAGTAAAAACATATCCACCTACATACATGTACCTTGACTATTTTGGACCTGGAAAACAGAGATGTTCAAAAATTCATGTTGTGTTCCAGGAAAAGGCTTACTATAGAAGGACTACTTCCCATGTTACTCATGGATTCTCTCCTTGTTTATTACTATGACAAGGCCAGGCAGAACCCTTTCAAATTTTGAGTCTTCCACTCATAAATAATTAGCTGAACTATGTGTCACCAGTGAGCTATTGAAAAAATCTGACTTGATCAAATTGTGGTTAAGCTTCTCTTTGTCCCCCAAGCCCCTGAACTTTGACCCACCTTCAGCTTGAGCCAGCATGTAAAAAAGCTCCTTAAGACTCCTTCTGGAGAAAATAGGCTGACCTCAAGGTAAAACATTCACTGCTCAACTGTACTCTGTATGTACTTATGTATGTACAACATAAACTGCATTTACTCTTTCTATTTTCTTACACCTCTTTTTTTTCTAGCTTCGTTTACTCTTCCTTACACAGGGAAGTCCTTTTGTGCCTGACTTTGAGATCCTTGCAAATCTCATAATCAGGAGCATGCTCTTAATTTCAGTAGTTCTCCTCTTCCTATTGGTATAGTCCCCCTCCACTTATACAAAACATTATTTCAAATGTAATAATCTATTTAAAGAAGCTCTTTTTTCCTAAGTCGAATTATATTTTTCAAATGTGTCTTTTACAAATATATATTGTATATACATAAGGGGTATGACATGATGTTTTGATAAACATATACACAGTAAAAAGTTTAACACAGGTAAGCAAACTAACATATTCATTACCTTTCATAGTTACCTCTTGTGTGTGGTAAGAGCACCTAATTTCTACTCTCTTAGCAAAATTTTAATATATAATAGAATATTAATTATAGACCTCCTGCTATACATTAGATCTCTAGAATGATTCATCATATGTAGCTGCAAATTTATACCTTGTGACTTACATCTCCCTCACTTTCTCCCTTTCTCCGCCCCTGATAAACACTAGTCTATTTTCTATGTATTCAACTTTTTAATGTTCTATGCATAAGTAAGATGATATAGCATTTTTGTTTCCAAATCTGGCTTATTTCATTTAGTATAATGTCCTCTAGGCTCATCCATATTGTCATACATGGCGATATATATAGAAATTGCCTATATATATATATATATATATATATATATATATATATATATATAGTACAAAAATTATAGAGTGTACTTACAGACACCTAGATGGTACAGCCTACTACACTCCTGTTGCTCCTGACTACAAACCTGTATAGCATATTGCTATATTGAATACTGTAGGCAATTTTAATACCTCTGTTATATATAATTTCTTTATCCACTTATCCACTGATGGACACTATGATTGCTTCCTTATGTTGGCTATTGTAAATGATGCTTCAACAAACAAGTGAATGTAGATATCTCTTTGAGATACTAATTTCATTTATTTTGGGTATATATGCAGCAAAAAGTTATATAGGTCATACAGAAATTATGGTTTTTTTAGGAAACTACATACTGTTTTCCATAATGACTATACCAATTTACATTCTCAAAGGTTCCCTTTTCTTCACATCTCACCAACATGGTTTATCTTTTTCTTTTTGATAATGACTATTCTAACAGGTGTGAAACCGATGCCTCACTGTGGTTTTGCTTTGCAATTCCCTAACGATTAGTGATACTGGGCACCTTTTCATATTTCTGTTAGCCATTTGTATGTCTTCTGTGAAAAAATGTTGATTCGGGTCCATTGACCATTCTTTTACTTGGGTTGCAGTCTTGCATTGCTTAATGACATGAATATATACTGAGAAATGCATCGTTAGGCAATTTCACCTTTGTGCAAAAATCATAAAGCGTACTTATAGAAACCTAGATGTTATAGCCTAGTAAACTCCTATTACTCTTGGCTGCAAACCTGTATCGTATATTACTGTATTGAATACTATAGGCAATTTTAATACAAAGGTATGTATGTGTGTATCTAAATATACCTAAACATAGAAGAGGTACAGTAAAAATATGGTGTTATAATTTTATGGGACCACCACCATACATGCTATTCATCATTTTACTGAAATGTCATTATGCAGTGCATGACTGTATTTGTTTTTTTACAATTAATTTTATGAGTTACTCATATATTTTTTAAATTAAACCCTTTTTAGATATGTGGTTTGCATTATCTTTTCTCAATTTCTAAACTGCCTTTTCAAGTGGTGGATTGAACATTTTAGCTTGATGTCCCACTGACACTTTGCTTATGTTGGCTGTGTTTTTGGTTTCATATCCACGGAACTATTGCCAAGATCCACATCAGGGAGTTCTTCCCTGTTTTCTTTCAGGAGTGTTATGATGTAAGATTTTATATTTTGTTATTTAATCCACTTTGAGTTGATTCGTGTGTATGGTGTAAAACAAAGGTCCAACTTTAGGCTTCTGTATGCGGCTATCCAGTTTTTGTATCAAAATTTATTGAAGAAAACACAAAATCCTTTAACCATTTTGTCATTTTCATGGCCTCATAAAATTATTGGCTGTATACACTGAGTTTATTTTGGAGCTCTTTATTCTGTTCCATTGGTCTATGTGTCTGCTTTTTATGTGAGTATCATACTATTTTGACTACTATATTTTTGTATAATTTGAAATAAGAAAGTGTAATGCCTCCAGCTTTTTTGTTGTGTTTTTCTTTTCCGTTAAGAGTGCTTTGGCTCTTCACAGTATTTTGTGGTTCTGAATGAATTTTAGGATTGTCTTTCTATTTCTGTGAAAAATGCCATTGAGATTTTGAAAGCAATTGCATGGAATCTGAAGATCACTTTAGGTAGTCTCCTAATTCACAAATCCAGGATATCTCTCAATTTATTGTGTCTGATTCAATTTTATTCATTGAAGTTTTTAAATTCTCAGTATATAGATTTTTCACTTGCTTGGCTAAAGATGCTATCATAA